>NC_000014.9:17304448-17538659 GCF_000001405.40 Homo sapiens
GCTGGAAAGAAGCATTCTGTGAAACTTGTTTGTGATGTGTGTACTCAACTAACAGAGTTGAACCTTTCTTTTTACAGAGCAGTTTTGAAATACTCTTTTTGTAGAATCTGCGAGGGGATATTTGGATAGATTTCAGGATTTCGTTGGAAACGGGAATATCTTCATATAAAATCTCGACAGAAGCATTCTCAGAAACTTCTTTGTGATATGTGCATTCAAGTTACAGAGTTGAATATTCCCTTTCACAGAGTAGGTTTGAAACACTCTTTTTGTAGTATCTGGAAGTGGACATTTGGAGCGCCTTGACGCCTACGGTGAAAAGGGAAATATCTTCTCATAAAAAGTAGACAGAAGCAATCTCAGAATCTTCTTTGGGATATATGCACGCAGCTAACAGAGTTGAACCTTTCTATTGACAGAGCAGTTTTGAAACAGTCTTTCTGTGGAATCTGCAAGTGGATATTGGGAATGCTTGGAGGATTTCGTTGGAAACGGGATTACGTATAAAAAGTAGACAGCAGCATCCTCCGAAACTTCTTTGTGATGTGTGCATTCAAGTCACAGAGTTGAACATTCCCTTTCGTACAGCAGTTTGGAAACACTCTTTCTGTAGTATCTGGAAGTGAACATTAGGACAGCTTTCAGGTCTATGGTGAGAAAGGAAATATCTTCAAATAAAAACTAGACAGAAGCATTCTCATAAACTTGTTTGTGATGTGTGAACTCAGCTAACAGAGGTGGATCTTTCCTTTGATAGAGCAGTTCTGAAAAACACTTTTTGTTGAATCTGCAAGTGGACATCTGGATAGATTTGAAGATTTCGTTGGAAACGGGAATATCTTCATATCAAATCTAGACAGAAGCATTCTCAGAAACGTCTTTGTGATGTTTGCATTCAACTCATAGAGTTGAACATTCCCTTTCAGAGAGCAGCTTTGAAGCACTCTTTTTGTAGCATGTGCAAGTGGATATTTGGAGCGCTCTGAGGCCTACGGTGAAAAAGCAAATATCTTCCCATAACCACTAGACAGAAACATTCTCAGAAACTCCTTTATGACGTGTGCACTCACCTAACAGAGAAGAACCTTCCTTTTGACAGAGCAGTTTTGATACACTCTTTTTGTAGAATCTGCAAGTGGATATTTGGATAGCTGTGAAGATTTCGTTGGAAACTGGAATATCTTCCTATAAAATCTAGACAGAAGCATTCTCAGAAACTGCTCTGTGATGTCTGCATTCAAGTCACAGAGTTGAACATTGCCTTTCATAGAGCAGGTTTGAAACGCTCTTTTTGTAGTATAGGGAAGTGGATGTTTCGGACGGTTGGAGGCCCATGGTGATAAAGGGAATATCTTCCCCTGCAAGCTAGAAAGAAGCATTGTGTGAAACTTGTTTGTGATGTGTGTACTCAACTAACAGAGTTGAACCTTTCTTTTCACAGAGCAGTTTTGAAACACTCTTTTTGTAGAATCTGCGAGGGGATATTTGGATAGATTTCAGGATTTCGTTGGAAACGGGAATATCTTCATATAAAATCTCGACAGAAGCATTCTCAGAAACTTCTTTGTGATATGTGCATTCAAGTCACAGAGTTGAATATTCCCTTTCACAGAGTAGGTTTGAAACACTCTTTTTGTAGTATCTGGAAGTGGACATTTGGAGCGCCTTGACGCCTACGGTGAAAAGGGAAATATCTTCCCATAAAAACTAGACAGCAGCAATCTCAGAATCTTCTTTGGGATATATGCACGCAGCTAACAGAGTTGAACCTTTCTATTGACAGAGCAGTTTTGAAACAGTCTTTCTGTGGAATCTGCAAGTGGATATTTGGATAGCTTGGAGGATTTCGTTGGAAACGGGATTACGTATAAAAAGTAGAGAGCAGCATCCTCAGAAACTTCTTTGTGATGTGTGCATTCAAGTCACAGAGTTGAACATTCCCTTTCGTACAGCAGTTTTGAAACACTCTTTCTGTAGTATCTGGAAGTGAACATTAGGACAGCTTTCAGGTCTTTGGTGAGAAAGGAAATATCTTCAAATAAAAACTAGACAGAAGCATACTCATAAACTTGTTTGTGATGTGTGAACTCAGCTAACAGAGGTGGATCTTTCTTTTGATAGAGCAGTTCTGAAAAACACTTTTTGTTGAATCTGCAAGTGGACATTTGGATAGATTTGAAGATTTCGTTGGAAACGGGAATATCTTCATATCAAATCTAGACAGAAGCATTCTCAGAAACGTCTTTGAGATGTTTGCATTCAACTCATAGAGTTGAACATTCCGTTTCAGAGAGCAGCTTTGAAGCACTCTTTTTGTACTATGTGCAAGTGGATATTTGGAGCGCTCTGAGGCCTACGGTGAAAAAGCAAATATCTTCCCATAACCACTAGACAGAAACATTCTCAGAAATTCCTTTATGACGTATGCACTCACCTAAAAGAGAAGAACCTTCCTTTTGACAGAGCAGTTTTGATACACTCTTTTTGTAGAATCTGCAAGTGGATATTTGGATAGCTGTGAAGATTTCGTTGGAAACGGGAATATCTTCCTATAAAATCTAGACAGAAGCATTCTCAGAAACTGCTCTGTGATGTCTGCATTCAAGTCACAGAGTTGAACATTGCCTTTCCTAGAGCAGGTTTGAAACGCTCTTTTTGTAGTATATGGAAGTGGACGTTTCGGACGGTTTGAGGCCCATGGTGACAAAGGGAATATCTTCCCCTACAAGCTAGAAAGAAGCATTCTGTGAAACTTGTTTGTGATGTGTGTACTCAACTAAGAGAGTTGAACCTTTCTTTTCACAGAGCAGTTTTGAAACACTCTTTTTGTAGAATCTGCGAGGGGATATTTGGATAGATTTCAGGATTTCGTTGGAAACGGGAATATCTTCATATAAAATCTCGACAGAAGCATTCTCAGAAACTTCTTTGTGATATGTGCATTCAAGTCACAGAGATGAATATTCCCTTTCACAGAGTAGGTTTGAAACACTCTTTTTGTAGTATCTGGAAGTGGACATTTGGAGCGCCTTGACGCCTACGGTGAAAAGGGAAATATCTTCCCATAAAAACTAGACAGAAGCAATCTCAGAATTTTCTTTGGGATATATGCACATAGCTAACAGAGTTGAACCTTTCTTTTTACAGAGCAGTTTTGAAACACTCTTTTTGTAGAATCTGCAAGTGGATATTTGGATAGCTTGGAGGATTTCGTTGGAAACGGGATTACGTATAAAAAATAGACGGCAGCATCCTCAGAAACTTCTTTGTGATGTGGGCATTCAAGTCACAGAGTTGAACATTCCCTTTCGTACAGCAGTTTTGAAACACTCTTTCTGTAGTATCTGGAAGTGAACATTAGGACAGCTTTCAGGTCTATGGTGAGAAAGGAAATACCTTCAAATAAAAACTAGACAGAAGCATTCTCATAAACTTGTTTGTGATGTGTTAACTCAGCTAAGAGACGTGGATCTTTCTTTTGATAGAGCAGTTCTGAAAAACACATTTTGTTGAATCTGCAAGTGGACATTTGGATAGATTTGAAGATTTCGTTGGAAACGGGAATATCTTCATATCAAATCTAGACAGAAGCATTCTCAGAAACGTCTTTGTGATGTTTGCATTCAACTCATAGAGTTGAACATTCCGCTTCAGAGAGCAGCTTTGAGGCACTCTTTTTGTAGTATGTGCAAGTGGATATTTGGAGCGCTCTGAGGCCTACGGTGAAAAAGCAAATATCTTCCCATAACCACTAGACAGAAACATTCTCAGAAACTGCTTTATGACGTATGCACTCACCTAACAGAGAAGAACCTTCCTTTTGACAGAGCAGTTTTGATACACTCTTTTTGTAGAATCTGCAAGTGGATATTGGGATAGCTGTGAAGATTTCGTTGGAAACGGGAATATCTTCCTATAAAATCTAGACAGAAGCATTCTCAGAAACTGCTCTGTGATGTCTGCATTCAAGTCACAGAGTTGAACATTGCCTTTCATAGAGCAGGTTTGGAATGCTCTTTTTGTAGTATATGGAAGTGGACGTTTCAGACGGTTTGAGGCCCATGGTGATAAAGGGAATATCTTCCCCTACAAGCTAGAAAGAAGCATTCTGTGAAACTTGTTTGTGATGTGTGTACTCAACTAACAGAGTTGAACCTTTCTTTTTACAGAGCAGTTTTGAAACACTCTTTTTGTAGAATCTGCGTGGGGATATTTGGATAGATATCAGGATTTCCTTGGAAACGGGAATATCTTCTTTTAAAATCTCGGCAGAAGCATTCTCAGAAACTTCTTTGTGATATCTGCATTCAAGTCACAGAGTTGAATATTCCCTTTCACAGAGTAGGTTTGAAATACTCTTTTTGTAGTATCTGGAAGTGGACATTTGGAGCGCCTTGACACCTAAAGTGAAAAGGTAAATATCTTCCCATAAAAACTAGACAGAAGCAATCTCAGAATATTCTTTGGGATATATGCACGCAGCTAACAGAGTTAAACCTTTCTATTGACAGAGCAGTTTTGAAACAGTCTTTCTGTGGAATCTGCAAGTGGATATTTGGATAGCTTGGAGGATTTCGTTGGAAACGGGATTACGCATAAAAAGTAGACAGCAGCATCCTCAGAAACTTCTTTGTGATGTGTGCATTCAAGTCACAGAGTTGAACATTCCCTTTCGTACAGCAGTTTTGAAACACTCTTTCTGTAGTATCTGGAAGTGAACATTAGGACAGCTTTCATCTCTATGGTGAGAAAGGAAATATCTTCAAATAAAAACTAGACAGAAGCATTCTCATAAACTTGTTTGTGATGTGTGAACTCAGCTAACAGAGGTGGATCTTTCTTTTCATAGAGCAGTTCTGAAAAACACCTTTTGTTGAATCTGCAAGTGGACATTTGGATAGATTTGAAGATTTCGTTGGAAACGGGAATATCTTCATATCAAATCTAGACAGAAGCATTCTCAGAAACGTCTTTGTGATGTTTGCATTCAACTCATAGATTTGAACATTCCCTTTCAGAGAGCAGCTTTGAAGCACTCTTTTTGTAGTATGTGCAAGGGGATATTTGGAGCTCTCTGAGGCCTAAGGTGAAAAAGCAAATATCTTCCCATAACCACTAGACAGAAACATTCTCAGAAACTTCTTTATGACGTATGTACTCAACTAGCAGAGAAGAACTTTCCTTTTGACAGAGCACTTTTGATACATTCTTTTTGTAGTATCTGCAAGTGGATATTTGGATAGCTGTGAAGATTTCGTTGGAAACGGCAATATCTTCCTATAAAGTCTGGACAGAAGCATTCTCAGAAACTGCTCTGTGGTGTCTGCATTCAAGTCACAGAGTTGAACATTGCCTTTCATAGAGCAGGTTTGAAACGCTCTTTTTGTAGTATATGGAAGTGGATGTTTCGGACGGTTGGAGGCCCATGGTGATAAAGGGAATATCTTCCCCTACAAGCTAGAAAGAAGCATTCTGTGAAACTTGTTTGTGATGTGTGTACTCAACTAACGGAGTTGAACCTTTCTTTTTACAGAGCAGTTTTGAAACACTCTTTTTGTAGAATCTGCGAGGGGATATTTGGATAGATTTCAGGATTTCGTTGGAAACGGGAATATCTTCATAGAAAATACTCGACAGAAGCATTCTCAGAAGCTTCTTTGTGATATGTGCATTCAAGTCACAGAGTTGAATATTCCCTTTCACAGAGTAGGTTTGAAACATTCTTTTTGTAGTATCTGGAAGTGGACATTTGGAGCACCTTGACGCCTACGGTGAAAAGGGAAATATCTTCTCATGAAAAGTAGACAGAAGCAATCTCAGAATCCTCTTTGGGATACATGCACCCAGCTAAGAGAGTTGAACCTTTCTATTGACCGAGCAGTTTTGAAACAGTCTTTCTGTGGAATCTGCAAGTGGATATTTGGATAGCTTGGAGGATTTCGTTGGAAACAGGATCACGTATAAAAAGTAGACAGCAGCATCCTCAGAAACTTCTTTGTGATGTGTGCATTCAAGTCACAGAGTTGAACATCACCTTTCGTACAGCAGTTTTGAAACACTCATTCTGTAGTATCTGGAAGTGAACATTGGGATAGCTTTCAGGTCTATGGTGAGAAAGGAAATATCTTCAAATAAAAACTAGACAGAAGCATTTTCATAAACTTGTTTGTGATGTGTGAACTCAGCTAACAGAGGTGGATCTTTCTTTTGATAGAGCAGTTCTGAAAAACACTTTTTGTTGAATCTGCAAGTGGACATTTGGATAGATTTGAAGATTTCGTTGGAAACGGGGATATCTTCATATCAAATACTAGACAGAAGCATTCTCGGAAACGTCTTTGTGATGTTTGCATTCAACTCATAGAGTTGAACATTCCGTTTCAGAGAGCAGCTTTGAGGCACTCATTTTGTAGTATGTGCAAGTGGATATCTGGAGCGCTCTGAGGCCTTCGGTGAAAAAGCAAATATCTTCCCATAACCACCAGAAAGAAACATTCTCAGAAACTCCTTTATGACGTATGCACTCACCTAACAGAGAAGAACCTTCCTTTGGACAGAGCAGTTTTGATACATACTTTTTGTAGAATCTGAAAGTGGATATTTGGATAGCTGTGAAGATTTCGTTGGAAACGGGAATATCTTCCTATAAAATCTAGACAGAAGCATTCTCAGAAAGTGCTCTGTGATGTCTGCATTCAAGTTACAGAGTTGAACATTGCCTTTCATAGAGCAGGTTTGAAACACTCTTTTTGTAGTATATGGAAGTGGACGTTTCGGACGGTTTGAGGCCCATGGTGATAAAGGGAATATCTTCTCCTACAAGCTAGAAAGAAGCATTGTGTGAAACTTGTTTGTGATGTGTGTACTCAACTAACAGAGTTGAACCTTTCTTTTCACAGAGCAGTTTTGAAACACTCTTTTTGTAGAATCTGCGAGGGGATATTTGGATAGATTTCAGCATTTCGTTGGAAACGGGAATATCTTCATATAAAATCTCGACAGAAGCATTCTCAGAAACTTCTTTGTGATATCTGCATTCAAGTCACAGAGTTGAATATTCCCTTTCACAGAGTAGGTTTGAAACACTCTTTTTGTAGTATCTGGAAGTGGACATTTGGAGCGCCTTGACGTCTACGGTGAAAAGGGAAATATCTTCCCATAAAAACTAGACAGAAGCAATCTCAGAATCTTCTTTGGGATATATGCACGCAGTTAACAGAGTTGAAACTTTCTATTGACAGAGCAGTTTTGAAACAGTCTTTCTGTGGAATCTGCAAGTGGATATTTGGATAGCTTGGAGGATTTCGTTGGAAACGGGATTACGTATAAAAAGTAGACAGCAGCATCCTCAGGAAACTTCTTTGTGATGTGTGCATTCAAGTCACAGAAGTTGAACATTCCCTTTCGTACAGCAGTTTTGAAATACTCTTTCTGTAGTAACTGGAAGTGAACATTAGGACAGCTTTCAGGTCTATGGTGAGAAAGGAAATATCTTCAAATAAAAACTAGACAGAAGCATTCTCATAAACTTGTTTGTGATGTGTGAACTCAGCTAACAGAGGTGGATCTTTCTTTTGATAGAGCAGTTCTGAAAAACACTTTTTGTTGAATCTGCAAGTGGACATTTGGATAGATTTGAAGATTTCGTTGGAAACGGGAATAACTTCATATCAAATCTAGACAGAAGCATTCTCAGAAACGTCTTTGTGATGTTTGCATTCAACTCATAGAGTTGAACATTCCGTTTCAGAGAGCAGCTTTGAAGCACTCTTTTTGTAGTATGTGCAAGTGGATATTTGGAGCGCTGTGAGGCCTACGGTGAAAAAGCAAATATCTTCCCATAACCACTAGACAGAAACATTCTCAGAAACTCCTTTATGACGTATGCACTCACCTAACAGAGAAGAACCTTCCTTTTGACAGAGCAGTTTTGATACACTCTTTTTGTAGAATCTGCAAGTGGATATTTGGATAGCTGTGAAGATTTCGTCGGAAACGGGAATATCTTCCCATAAAATCTAGACAGAAGCATTCTCAGAAACTGCTCTGTGATGTCTGCATTCAAGTCACAGAGTTGAACATTGCCTTTCATAGAGCAGGTTTGAAACGCTCTTTTTGTAGTATATGGAAGTGGACGTTTCAGACGGTTTGCGGCCCATGGTGTTAAAGGGAATATCTTCCCCTACAAGCTAGAAAGAAGCATTCTGTGAAACTTGTTTGTGATGTGTGTACTCAACTAAGAGAGTTGAACCTTTCTTTTTACAGAGCAGTTTTGAAACACACTTTTTGTAGAATCTGCGAGGGGATATTTGGATAGATTTCAGGATTTCGTTGGAAACGGGAATATCTTCATTTAAAATCTCGACAGAAGCATTCTCAGAAACTTCTTTGTGATATCTGCATTCAAGTCACAGAGGTGAATATTCCCTTTCACAGAGTAGGTTTGAAACACTCTTTTTGTAGTATCTGGAAGTGGACATTTGGAGCGCCTTGACGCCTACGGTGAAAAGGGAAATATCTTCCCATAAAAACTAGACAGAAGCAATCTCAGAATCTTCTTTGGGATATATGCACGCAGCTAACAGAGTTGAACCTTTCTATTGACAGAGCAGTTTTGAAACAGTCTTTCTGTGGAATCTGCAAGTGGATATTTGGATAGATTGGAGGATTTCGTTGGAAACGGGATTACGTATCAAAAGTAGACAGCAGCATGCTCAGAAACTTCTTTGTGATGTGTGCATTCAAGTCACAGAGTTGAACATTCCCTTTCGTACAGCAGTTTTGAAACACTCTTTCTGTAGTATCTGGAAGTGAACATTAGGACAGCTTTCAGGTCTATGGTGAGAAAGGAAATATCTTCAAATAAAAACTAGACAGAAGCATTCTCAAAAACTTGTTTGTGATGTGTGAACTCAGCTAACAGAGGTGGATCTTTCTTTTGATAGAGCAGTTCTGAAAAACACGTTTTGTTGAATCTGCAAGTGGACATTTGGATAGATTTGAAGATTTCGTTGGAAACGGGAATATCGTCATATCAAATCTAGAAAGAAGCATTCTCAGAAACGTCTTTGTGATGTTTGCATTCAACTCATAGAGTTGAACATTCCCTTTCAGAGAGCAGATTTGAAGCACTCTTTTTGTAGTATGTGCAAGGGGATATATGGAGCGCTCTGAGGCCTAAGGTGAAAAAGCAAATATCTTCCCATAACCACTAGACAGAAACATTCTCAGAAACTCCTTTATGACGTATGTACTCAACTAACAGAGGAGAACCTTCCTTTTGACAGAGCAGTTTTGATACACTCTTTTTGTAGAATCTGCAAGTGGATATTTGGATAGCTTGGAAGATTTCGTTGGAAAAGGGAATATCTTCCTATAAAACCTAGACAGAAGCATTCTCAGAAACTGCTCTGTGATGTCTGCATTCAAGTCACAGAGTTGAACATTGCCTTTCATAGAGCAGGTTTGAAACGCTCTTTTTGTAGTATATGGAAGTGGATGTTTCGGACGCTTGGAGGCCCATGGTGATAAAGGGAATATCTTCCCCTACAAGCTAGAAAGAAGCATTCTGTGAAACTTGTTTGTGATGTGTGTACTCAACTAACAGAGTTGAACCTTTCTTTTTACAGAGCAGTTTTGAAACACCCTTTTTGTAGAATCTGCGAGGGGATATTTGGATAGATTTCAGGATTTCGTTGGAAACGGGAATATCTTCATATAAAATCTCGACAGAAGCATTCTCAGAAACTTCTTTGTGATATGTGCATTCAAGTCACAGAGTTGAATATTCCCTTTCACAGACTAGGTTTGAAAAACCCTTTTTGTAGTAGTCTGGAAGTGGACATTTGGAGCGCCTTGACGCCTACGGTGAAAAGGGAAATATCTTCTCATAAAAAGTAGACAGAAGCAATCTCAGAATCTTCTTTGGGATATATGCACGCAGCTAACAGAGTTGAACCTTTCTATTGACAGAGCAGTTTTGAAACAGTCTTTCTGTGGAATCTGCATGTGGATATTTGGATAGCTTGGAGGATTTCGTTGGAAACGGGATTACGTATAAAAAGTAGACAGCAGCATCCTCAGAAACTTCTTTGTGATGTGTGCATTCAAGTCACAGAGTTGAATATTCCCTTTCGTACAGCAGTTTTGAAACACTCTTTCTGTAGCATCTGGAAGTGAACATTAGAACAGCTTTCAGGTCTATGGTGAGAAAGGAAATATCTTCAAATAAAAACTAGACAGAAGCATTCTCATAAACTTGTTTCTGATGTGTGAACTCAGCTAACAGACGTGGATCTTTCTTTTGATACAGCAGTTTTGAAAAACACTTTTTGTTGAATCTGCAAGTGGACATTTGGATAGATATGAAGATTTCGTTGGAAACGGGAATATCTTCATATCAAATCTAGACAGAAGCATTCTCAGCAAACGTCTTTGTGATGTTTGCATTCAACTCATAGAGTTGAACATTCCGTTTCAGAGCAGCAGCTTTGAAGCACTCTTTTTGTAGTATGTGCAAGTGGATATTTGGATCGCTGTGAGGCCTAAGGTGAAAAAGCAAATATCTTCCCATAACCACTAGACAGAAACATTCTCAGAAACGCCTTTATGACGTATGCACTCACCTAACAGAAAAGAACCTTTCTTTTGACAGAGCAGTTTTGATACACTCTTTTTGTAGAATCTGCAAGTGGATATTTGGATAGCTGTGAAGATTTCGTTGGAAACGGGAATATCTTCCTATAAAATCTAGACAGAAGCATTCTCAGAAACTGCTCTGTGATGTCTGCATTCAAGTCACAGAGTTGAACATTGCCTTTCATAGAGCAGGTTTGAAACGCTCTTTTTGTAGTATATGGAAGTGGATGTTTCGGACGGTTGGAGGCCCATGGTGATAAAGGGAGTATCTTCCCCTACAAGCTAGAAAGAAGCATTCTGTGAAACTTGTTTGTGATGTGTGTACTCAACTAACAGAGTTGAACCTTTCTTTTTACAGAGCAGTTTTGAAACACTCTTTTTGTAGAATCTGCGAGGGGATAATTGGATAGATTTCAGGATTTCATTGGAAACGGGAATATCTTCATATAAAATCTCGACAGAAGCATTCTCAGAAACTTCTTTGTGATATGTGCATTCAAGTCACAGAGTTGAATATTCCCTTTCACAGAGTAGGTTTGAAACACCCTTTTTGTAGTATCTGGAAGTGGACATTTGGAGCGCCTTGACACCTACGGTGAAAAGGGAAATATCTTCCCATAAAAACTAGACAGAAGCAATCTCAGAATCTTCTTTGGGATATATGCACGCAGCTAACAGAGTTGAACCTTTCTATTGACAGAGCAGTTTTGAAACACTCTTTCTGTGGAATCTGCAAGTGGATATTTCGATAGCTTGGAGGATTTCGTTGGAAACGGGATTACGTATAAAAAGTAGACAGCAGCATCCTCAGAAACTTCTTTGTGATGTGTGCATTCAAGTCACAGAGTTGAACATTCCCTTTCGTACAGCAGTTTTGAAACACTCTTTCTGTAGTATCTGGAAGTGAACATTAGGACAGCTTTCAGGTCTATGGTGAGAAAGGAAATATCTTCAAGTAAAAACTAGACAGAAGCATTCTCATAAACTTGTTTGTGATGTGGGAACTCAGCTAACAGAGGCGGATCTTTCTGTTGATAGAGCAGTTCGGAAAAACACTTTTTGTTGAATCTGCAAGTGGACATTTGGATAGATTTGAAGATTTCGTTGGAAACGGGAATATCTTCATATCAAATCTAGACAGAAGCATTCTCAGAAACGTCTTTCTGATGTTTGCATTCAACTCATAGAGTTGAACATTCCCTTTCAGAGAGCAGCTTTGAAGCACTCTTTTTGTAGTATGTGCAAGGGGATATATGGAGCGCTCTGAGGCCTAAGGTGAAAAAGCAAATATCTTCCCATAACCACTAGACAGAAACATTCTCAGAAACTCCTTTATGACGTATGCACTCACCTAACAGAGAAGAACCTTCCTTTTGACAGAGCAGTTTTGATACACTCTTTTTGTAGAATCTGCAAGTGGATATTGGGATAGCTGTGAAGATTTCGTTGGAAACGGGAATATCTTCCTATAAAATCTAGACAGAAGCATTCTCAGAAACTGCTCTGTGATGTCTGCATTCAAGTCACAGAGTTGAACATTGCCTTTCCTAGAGCAGGTTTGAAACGCTCTTTTTGTAGTATATGGAAGTGGACGTTTCGGACGGTTTGAGGCCCATGGTGATAAAGGGAATATCTTCCCCTATAAGCTAGAAAGAAGCATTCTGTGAAACTTGTTTGTGATGTGTGTACTCAACTAACAGAGTTGAACCTTTCTTTTTACAGAGCAGTTTTGAAACACTCTTTTTGTAGAATCTGCGAGGGGATATTTGGATAGATTTCAGGATTTCGTTGGAAACGGGAATATCTTCATAGAAAATGCTCGACAGAAGCATTCTCAGAAACTTCCTTGTGATATGTGCATTCAAGTCACAGAGTTGAATATTCCCTTTCACAGAGTAGGTTTGAAACACTCTTTTTGTAGTATCTGGAAGTGGACATTTGGAGCGCCTTGACGCCCACGGTGAAAAGGGAAATATCTTCCCATAAAAACTAGACAGAAGCAATCTCAGAATCTTCTTTGGGATATATGCACGCAGCTAACAGAGTTGAACCTTTCTATTGACAGAGCAGTTTTGAAACAGTCTTTCTGTGGAATCTGCAAGTGGATATTTGGATAGCTTGGAGGATTTCGTTGGAAACGGGATTAAGTATAAAAAGTAGACAGCAGCATCCTCAGAAACTTCTTTGTGATGTGTGCATTCAAGTCACAGAGTTGAACATTCCCTTTTGTACAGCAGTTTTGAAACACTCTTTCTGTAGTATCTGGAAGTGAACATTAGGACAGCTTTCAGGTCTATGGTGAGAAAGAAAATATCTTCAAATAAAAACTAGACAAAAGCATTCTCATAAACTTGTTTGTGATGTGTGAACTCAGCTAACAGAGGTGGATCTTTCTTTTGATAGAGCAGTTCTGAAAAACACTTTTTGTTGAATCTGCAAGTGGATATTTGGATAGATTTGAAGATTTCGTTGGAAACGGGAATATCTTCATATCAAATCTAGACAGAAGCATTCTCAGAAACGTCTTTGTGATGTTTGCATTCAACTCATAGAGTTGAACATTCCCTTTCAGAGAGGAGCTTTGAAGCACTCTTTTTGTAGTATGTGCAAGGGGATATTTGGAGCGCTCTGAGGCCTAAGGTGAAAAAGCAAATATCTTCCCATAACCACTAGACAGAAACATTCTCAGAAATTTCTTTATGACGAATTTACTCAACTAGCAGAGAAGAACTTTCCTTTTGACAGAGCACTTTTGATACACTCTTTTTTAGTATCTGCAAGTGGATATTTGGATAGCTGTGAAGATTTCGTTGGAAACGGGAATATCTTCCTATAAACTCTGGACAGAAGCATTCTCAGAAACTGCTCTGTGATGTCTGCATTCAAGTCACAGAGTTCAACATTGCCTTTCATAGAGCAGGTTTGAAACGCTCTTTTTGTAGTATATGGAAGTGGATGTTTCGGACGGTTGGAGGCCCATGGTGACAAAGGGAATATCTTCCCCTACAAGCTAGAAAGAAAGCATTCTGTGAAACTTGTTTGTGAT
Source organism: Homo sapiens (assembly GCF_000001405.40). Classification (NCBI taxonomy): domain Eukaryota; kingdom Metazoa; phylum Chordata; class Mammalia; order Primates; family Hominidae; genus Homo; species Homo sapiens. Next base: position 17,318,133 of record NC_000014.9, read on the forward strand.
GTGTGTACTCAACTAACAGGAGTTGAACCTTTCTTTTTACAGAGCAGTTTTGAAACACTCTTTTTGTAGAATCTGCGAGGGGATATTTGGATACATTTCAGCATTTCGTTGGAAACGGGAATATCTTCATATAAAATCTCGACAGAAGCATTCTCAGAAACTTCTTTGTGATATGTGCATTCAAGTCACAGAGTTGAATATTCCCTTTCCCAGAGTAGGTTTGAAACACTCTTTTTGTAGTATCTGGAAGTGGACATTTGGAGCGCCTTGACACCTACGGTGAAAAGGGAAATATCTTCCCATAAAAACTAGACAGAAGCAATCTCAGAATCTTCTTTGGGATATATGCACGCAGCTAACAGAGTTGAACCTTTCTATTGACAGAGCAGTTTTGAAACAGTCTTTCTGTGCAATCTGCAAGTGGATATTTGGATAGCTTGGAGGATTTCGTTGGAAACGGGATTACGTATAAAAAGTAGACAGCAGCATCCTCAGAAACTTCTTTGTGATGTGTGCATTCAAGTCACAGAGTTGAACATTCCCTTTCGTACAGCAGTTTTGAAACACTCTTTCTGTAGTATCTGGAAGTGAACATTAGGACAGCTTTCAGTTCTATGGTGAGAAAGGAAATATCTTCAAATAAAAACTAGACAGAAGCATTCTCATCAACTTGTTTGTGATGTGTGAACTCAGCTAACACACGTGGATCTTTCTTTTGATAGAGCAGTTCTGAAAAACACTTTGTTGAATCTGCAAGTGGACATTTGGATAGATTTCAAGATTTCGTTGGAAACGGGAATATCTTCATATCAAATCTAGACAGAAGCATTCTCAGAAACGTCTTTGTGATGTTTGCATTCAACTCATAGAATTGAACATTGCGGTTCAGAGAGCAGCTTTGAAGCACTCTTTTTGTAGTATGTGCAAGTGGATATTTGGAGCGCTCTGAGGCCTAAGGTGAAAAAGCAAATATCTTCCCATAACCACTAGACAGAAACATTCTCAGAAACTTCTTTATGACGTATGTACTCAACTAGCAGAGAAGAACTTTCCTTTTGACAGAGCACTTTTGATACACTCTTTTTGTAGTATCTGCAAGTGGATATTTGGATAGCTGTGAAGATTTCGTTTGAAACGGGAATATCTTCCTATAAAGTCTGGACAGAAGCATTCTCAGAAACTGCTCTGTGATGTCTGCATTCAAGTCACAGAGTTGAACATTGCCTTTCATAGAGCAGGTTTCAAACACTCTTTTTTTAGTATATGGAAGTGGACGTTTCGGACGGTTTGAGGACCATGGTGATAAAGGAAATATCTTCCCCTACAAGCTAGAAAGAAGCATTGTGTGAAACTTGTTTGTGATGTGTGTACTCAACTAACAGAGTTGAACCTTTCTTTTTACAGAGCAGTTTTGAAACACTCTTTTTGTAGAATCTGCAAGGGGATATTTGGATAGATTTCAGGATTTCGTTGGAAACGGGAATATCTTCATATAAAATCTCGACAGAAGCATTCTCAGAAACTTCTTTGTGATATCTGCATTCAAGTCACAGAGTTGAATATTCCCTTTCACAGAGTAGGTTTGAAACACTCTTTTTGTAGTATCTGGAAGTGGGCATTTGGAGCGCTTTGACGCCTACGGTGAAAAGGGAAATATCTTCCCATAAAAACTAGACAGAAGCAATCTCAGAATCTTCTTTGGGATATATGCACGCAGCTAACAGAGTTGAACCTTTCTATTGACAGAGCAGTTTTGAAACAATCTTTCTGTGGAATCTGCAAGTGGATATTTGGATAGCTTGGAGGATTTCGTTGGAAACGGGATTACGTATAAAAAGTAGACAGCAGCATCCTCAGGAACTTCTTTGTGATGTGTGCATTCAAGTCACAGAGTTGAACATTCCCTTCCGTACAGCAGTTTTGAAACACTCTTTCTGTAGTATCTGGAAGTGAACATTAGGACAGCTTTCAGGTTTATGGTGAGAAAGGAAATATCTTCAAATAAAAACTAGACAGAAGCATTCTCATAAACTTGTTCGTAATGTGTGAACTCAGCTAACACACGTGGATCTTTCTTTTGATAGAGCAGTTCTGAAAAACACTTTTTTTTGAATCTGCAAGTGGACATTTGGATAGATTTGAAGATTTCGTTGGAAACGGGAATATCTTCATATCAAATCTAGACAGAAGCATTCTCAGAAACGTCTTTGTGATGTTTGCATTCAACTCATAGAGTTGAACATTCCGTTTCAGAGAGCAGCTTTGAAGCACTCTTTTTGTAGTATATGCAAGTGGATATTTGGAGCGCTCTGAGGCCTACGGTGAAAAAGCAAATATCTTCCCATAACCACTAGACAGAAACATTCTCAGAAACTCCTTTATGACGGTATGCACTCACCTAACAGAGAAGAACCTTCCTTTTGACAGAGCAGTTTTGATACACTCTTTTTGTAGAATCTGCAAGTGGATATTTGGATACCTGTGAAGATTTCGTTGGAAACGGGAATATCTTCCTATAAAATCTAGACAGAAGCATTCTCAGAAACTGCTCTGTGATGTCTGCATTCAAGTCACAGAGTTGAACATTGCCTTTCATAGAGCAGGTTTGAAATGCTCTTTTTGTAGTATATGGAAGTGGACGTTTCAGACGGTTTGAGGCCCATGGTGATAAAGGGAATATCTTCCCCTAAAAGCTAGAAAGAAGCATTCTGTGAAACTTGTTTGTGATGTGTGTACTCAACTAACAGAGTTGAACCTTTCTTTTTACAGAGCAGTTTTGAAACACTCTTTTTGTAGAATCTGCGAGGGGATATTTGGATAGATTTCAGGATTTCGTTGGCAACGGGAGTATCTTCACATAAAATCTCGACAGAAGCATTCTCAGAAACTTCCTTGTGATATGTGCATTCAAGTCACAGAGTTGAATATTCCCTTTCACAGAGTAGGTTTGAAACACTCTTTTTGTAGTATCTGGAAGTGGTCATTTGGAGCGCCTTGACGCCACGGTGAAAAGGGAAATATCTTCCCATAAAAACTAGACAGAAGCAATCTCAGAATCTTCTTTGGGATATATGCATGCAGCTAACAGAGTTGAACCTTTCTATTGACAGAGCAGTTTTGAAACAGTCTTTCTGTGGAATCTGCAAGTGGATATTTGGATAGCTTGGAGGATTTCGTTGGAAACGGTATTACATATAAAAAGTAGACAGCAGCATACTCAGAAACTTCTTTGTGATGTGTGCATTCAAGTCACAGAGTTGAACATTCCCTTTCGTACAGCAGTTTTGAAACACTCTTTCTGTAGTATCTGGAAGTGAACATTAGGACAGCTTTCAGGTCTATGGTGAGAAAGGAAATATCTTCAAATAAAAACTAGACAGAAGCATTCTCATAAACTTGTTCGTAATGTGTGAACTCAGCTAACACACGTGGATCTTTCTTTTGATAGAGCAGTTCTGAAAAACACTTTTTGTTGAATCTGCAAGTGGACATTTGGATAGATTTGAAGATTTCGTTGGAAACGGGAATATCTTCATATCAAATCTAGACAGAAGCATTCTCGGAAACGTCTTTGTGATGTTTGCATTCAACTCATAGAGTTGAACATTCCGTTTCAGAGAGCAGCTTTGAAGCACTCTTTTTGTAGTATGTGCAAGGGGATATTTGGAGCGCTCTGAGGCCTAAGGTGAAAAAGCAAATATCTTCCCATAACCACTAAACAGAAACATTCTCAGAAACTTCTTTATGACGTATGTACTCAACTAGCAGAGAAGAACTTTCCTTTTGAGAGAGCATTTTTGATACACTCTTTTTGTAGTATCTGCAGGTGGATATTTGGATAGCTGTGAAGATTTCGTTGGAAACGGGAATATCTTCCTATAAAGTCTGGACAGAAGCATTCTCAGAAACTGCTCTGTGATGTCTGCATTCAAGTCACAGAGTTGAACATTGCCTTTCCTAGAACAGGTTTGAAACGCTCTTTTTGTAGTATATGGAAGTGGACGTTTCGGCCTGTTTGAGGCCCATGGTGATAAAGGGAATATCTTCCCCTACAAGCTAGAAAGAAGCATTGTGTGAAACTTGTTTGTGATGTGTGTACTCAACTAACAGAGTTGAACCTTTCTTTTTACAGAGCAGTTTTGAAACACTCTTTTTGTAGAATCTGCGAGGGGAAATTTGGATAGATTTCAGGATTTCGTTGGAAACGGGAATATCTTCATATAAAATCTCGACAGAAGCATTCTCAGAAACTTCTTTGTGATATCTGCATTCAAGTCACAGAGTTGAATATTCCCTTTCACAGAGTAGGTTTGAAACACTCTTTGTAGTATCTGGAAGTGGACATTTGGAGCGCCTTGACGCCTACGGTGAAAAGGGAAATATCTTCCCATAAAAACTAGACAGAAGCAATCTCAGAATCTTCTTTGGGATATATGCACGCAGCTAACAGAGTTGAACCTTTCTATTGACAGAGCAGTTTTGAAACAGTCTTTCTGTGGAATCTGCAAATGGATATTTGGATAGCTTGGAGGATTTCGTTGGAAACGGGATTATGTATAAAAAGTAGACAGCAGCATCCTCAGAAACTTCTTTGTGATGTGTGCATTCAAGTCCCAGAGTTGAACATTCCCTTTCGTACAGCAGTTTTGAAACACTCTTTCTGTAGTATCTGGAAGTGAACATTAGGACAGCTTTCAGGTCTATGGTGAGAAAGGAAATATCTTCAAATAAAAACTAGACAGAAGCATTCTCATAAACTTGTTTGTGATGTCTGAACTCAGCTAACAGAGGTGGATCTTTCTTTTGATAGAGCAGTTCTGAAAAACACTTTTGGTTGAATCTGCAAGTGGACATTTGGATAGATTTGAAGACTTCGTTGGAAACGGGAATATCTTCATATCAAATCTAGACAGAAGCATTCTCAGAAATGTCTTTGTGATGTTTGCATTCAACTCATAGAGTTGAACATTCCGTTTCAGAGACCAGCTTTGAAGCACTCTTTTTGTAGTATGTGCAAGTGGATATTTGGAGCGCTCTGAGGCCTACGGTGAAAAAGCAAATATCTTCCCATAACCACTAGACAGAAACATTCTCAGAAACTTCTTTATGACGTATGTACTCAACTAGCAGAGAAGAACTTTCCTTTTGACAGAGCATTTTTGATACACTCTTTTTGTACTATCTGCAAGTGGATATTTGGATAGCTGTGAAGATTTCGTTGGAAACGGGAATATCTCCCTATAAAGTCTGGACAGAAGCATTCTCAGAAACTGCTCTGTGATGTCTGCATTCAAGTCACAGAGTTGAACATTGCCTTTCATAGAGCAGGTTTGAAACGCTCTTTTTGTATTATATGGAAGTGGATGTTTCGGACGGTTGGAGGCCCATGGTGATAAAGGGAATATCTTCCCCTACAAGCTAGAAAGAAGCATTCTGTGAAACTTGTTTGTGATGTGTGTACTCAACTAACAGAGTTGAACCTTTCTTTTTACAGAGCAGTTTTGAAACACTCTTTTTGTAGAATCTGCGAAGGGAAATTTGGATAGATTTCAGGATTTCGTTGGAAACGGGAATATCTTCATACAAAATCTCGACAGAAGCATTCTCAGAAACTTCTTTGTGATATGTGCATTCAAGTCACAGAGTTGAATATTCCCGTTCACAGAGTAGGTTTGAAACACTCTTTTTGTAGTATCTGGAAGTGGACATTTGGAGCGCCTTGACTCCTACCGCGTGAAAAGGGAAATATCTTCCCATAAAAACTAGACAGAAGCAATCTCAGAATCTTCTTTGTGATATATGCACGCAGCTAACAGAGTTGAACCTTTCTATTGACAGAGCAGTTTTGAAACAGTCTTTCTGTGGAATCTGCAAGTGGATATTTGGATAGCTTGGAGGATTTCGTTGGAAACGGGATTATGTATAAAAAGTAGACAGCAGCATCCTCAGAAACTTCTTTGTGATGTGTGCATTCAAGTCACAGAGTTGAACATTCCCTTTCGTACAGCAGTTTTGAAACACTCTTTCTGTAGTATCTGGAAGTGAACATTAGGAGAGCTTTCAGGTCTATGTTGAGAAAGGAAATATCTTCAAATAAAAACTAGACAGAAAGCATTCTCATAAACTTCTTTGTGATGTGTGAACTCAGCTAACCGAGGTGGATCTTTCTTTTGATAGAGCAGTTCTGAAAAAAACTTTTTGTTGAATCTGCAAGTGGACATTTGGATAGATTTGAAGATTTCGTTGGGAACGGGAATATCTTCATATCAAATCTAGACAGAAGCATTCTCGGAAACGTCTTTGTGATGTTTGCATTCAACTCATAGAGTTGAACATTCCGTTTCAGAGAGCAGCTTTGAAGCACTCTTTTTGTAGTATGTGCAAGTGGATATTTGGAGCGCTCTGAGGCCTACGGTGAAAAAGCAAATATCTTCCCATAACCACTAGACAGAAAGATTCTCAGAAACTCCTTTATGACGTATGCACTCACCTAACAGAGAAGAACCTTCCTTTTGACAGAGCAGTTTTGATACACTCTTTTTGTAGAATCTGCAAGTGGATATTTGGATAGCTGTGAAGATTTCGTTGGAAACGGGAATATCTTCCTATAAAATCTAGACAGAAGCATTCTCAGAAACTGCTCTGTGATGTCTGCATTCAAGTCACAGAGTTGAACATTGCCTTTCCTAGAGCAGGTTTGAAACGCTCTTTTTGTAGTATATGGAAGTAAACGTTTCGGACGGTTTGAGGCCCATGGTGATAAAGGGAATATCTTCCCCTACAAGCTAGAAAGAAGCATTGTGTGAAACTTGTTTGTGATGTGTGTACTCAACTAACAGAGTTGAACCTTTCTTTTTACAGAGCAGTTTTGAAACACTCTTTTTTTAGAATCTGCGAGGGGATATTTGGATACATTTCAGGATTTCGTTGGAAACGGGAATATCTTCATATAAAATCTCGACAGAAGCATTCTCAGAAACTTCTTTGTGATATGTGCATTCGAGTCACAGAGTTGAATATTCCCTTTCACAGAGTAGGTTTGAAACACTCTTTTTGTAGTATCTGGAAGTGGACATTTGGAGCGCCTTGACGCCTACGGTGAAAAGGGAAATATCTTCCCATAAAAACTAGACAGAAGCAATCTCAGAATCTTCTTTGTGATATATGCACGCAGCTAACAGAGTTGAACCTTTCTATTGACTGAGCAGATTTGAAACAGTCTTTCTGTGGAATCTGCAAGTGGATATTTGGATAGCTTGGAGGATTTCGTTGGAAACGGGATTACGTATAAAAAGTAGACAGCAGCATCCTCAGAAACTTCTTTGTGATGTGTGCATTCAAGTCACAGAGTTGAACATTCCCTTTCGTACAGCAGTTTTGAAACACTCTTTCTGTAGTATCTGGAAGTGAACATTAGGATAGCTTTCAGGTCTATGGTGAGAAAGGGAATATCTTCAAATAAAAACTAGACAGAAGCATTCTCATAAACTTGTTTGTGATGTGTGAACTCAGCAAACAGCGGTGGATCTTTCTTTTGATAGAGCAGTTCTGAAAAACACTTTTTGTTGAATCTGCAAGTGGACATTTGGATAGTTTTGAAGGTTTCGTTGGAAACGGGAATATCTTCATATCAAATCTAGACAGAAAGGATTCTCGGAAACGTCTTTGTGATGTTTGCATTCAACTCATAGAGTTGAACATTCCCTTTCAGAGAACAGCTTTGAAGCACTCTTTTTGTAGTATGTGCAAGGGGATATTTGGAGCGCTCTGAGGCCTAAGGTGAAAAAGCAAATATCTTCCCATAACCACTAGACAGAAACATTGCTCAGAAACTCCTTTATGACGTATGCACTCACCTAACAGAGAAGAACCTTCCTTTTGACAGAGCAGTTTTGATACACTCTTTTTGTAGAATCTGCAAGTGGATATTTGGATAGCTGTGAAGATTTCGTTGGAAACGGGAATATCTTCCTATAAAATCTAGACAGAAGCATTCTCAGAAACTGCTCTGTGATGTCTGCATTCAAGTCACAGAGTTGAACATTGCCTTTCATAGAGCAGGTTTGAAACTCTCTTTTTGTAGTATATGGTAGTAGACGTTTCGGACGGTTTGAGGCCCATGGTGATAAAGGGAATATGTTACCCTACAAGCTAGAAAGAAGCATTCTGTGAAACTTGTTTGTGATGTGTGTACTCAACTAACAGAGTTGAACGTTTCTTTTTACAGAGCAGTTTTGAAACACTCTTTTTGTAGAATCTGCGAGGGGATATTTGGATACATTTCAGGATTTCGTTGGAAACGGGAATATCTTCATATAAAATCTCGACAGAAGCATTCTCAGAAACTTCTTTGTGATATGTGCATTCAAGTCACAGAGTTGAATATTCCCTTTCACAGAGTAGGTTTGAAACACTCTTTTTGTAGTATCTGGAAGTGGACATTTTGAACGCCTTGACACCTACGGTGAAAAGGGAAATATCTTCCCATAAAAACTAGACAGAAGCAATCTCAGAATCTTCTTTGGGATATATGCACGCAACTAACAGCAGTTGAACCTTTCTATTGACAGAGCAGTTTTGAAACAGTCTTTCTGTGGAATCTGCAAGTGGATATTTGGATAGCTTGGAGGATTTCTTTGGAAATGGGATTACGTATAAAAAGTAGACAGCAGCATCCTCAGAAACTTCTTTGTGATGTGTGCATTCAAGTCACAGAGTTGAACATTCCCTTTCGTACAGCAGTTTTGAAACACTCTTTCTGTAGTATCTGGAAGTGAACTTTAGGACAGCTTTCAGGTCTATAGTGAGAAAGGATATATCTTCAAATAAAAACTAGACGGAAGCATTCTGATAAACTTGTTTGTGAAGTGTGAACTCAGCTAACAGAGGTGGATCTTTCTTTCGAAACAGCAGTTTCGAAAAACACTTTTTGTTGAATCTGCAAGTGGACATTTGAATAGATTTGAAGATTTCGTTGGAAAGAGGAATATCTTCATATGAAATCTAGACAGAAGCATTCTCAGAAACGTCTTTGTGATGTTTGCATTCAACTCATAGAGTTGAACATTCCGTTTCAGAGAACAGCTTTGAAGCACTCTTTTTGTAGTATGTGCAAGTGGATATTTGGAGCGCTCTGAGGCCTACGGGGTTAAAGAAAATGTCTAACCATAACCACTAGACTGAAACATTCTCAGAAACTCCTTTATGACGTTTGTACTCAACTAACAGAGAAGAACGTTCCTATTGACAGAGCAGTTTTGATACACTCTTTTTGTAGAATCTGCAAGTGGATATTTGGATAGCTGTGAAGATTTCGTTGGAAACGGGAATATCTTCCTATAAAATCTAGACAGAAGCATTCTCAGAAACTGCTCTGTGATGTCTGCATTCAAGTCACAGAGTTGAACATTGCCTTTCCTAGAGCAGGTTTGAAACGCTCTTTTTGTAGTATATGGAAGTGGACTTTTCGGACGGTTTGAGGCCCATGGTGATAAAGGGAATATCTTCCCCTACAAGCTAGAAAGAAGCATTCTGTGAAACTTGTTTGTGATGTGTGTACTCAACTAACAGAGTTGAACCTTTCTTTTTACAGAGCAGTTTTGAAACACTCTTTTTGTAGAATCTGCGAGGGGATATTTGGAGAGACTTCAGGATTTCGTTGGAAACGGGAATATCTTCATATAAAATCTCGACAGAAGCATTCTCAGAAACTTCTTTGTGATATCTGCCTTCAAGTCACAGAGTTGAATATTCCCTTTCACAGAGTAGGTTTGAAACACTCTTTTTGTAGTATCTGGAAGTGGACATTTGGAGCGCCTCGACACCTACGGTGAAAAGGGAAATATCTTCCCATAAAAACTAGACAGAAGCAATCTCAGAATCTTCTTTGGGATATATGCACGCAGCTAACAGAGTTGAACCTTTCTATTGACAGAGCAGTTTTGAAACAGTCTTTCTGGGGAATCTGCAAGTGGATATTTGGATAGCTTGGAGGATTTCGTTGGAAACAGGATTACGTATAAAAAGTAGACAGCAGCATCCTCAGAAACTTCTTTGTGATGTGTGCATTCAAGTCACAGAGTTGAACATTCCCTTTCGTACAGCAGTTTTGAAACACTCTTTCTGTAGTATCTGGAAGTGAACATTAGAACAGCTTTCAGCTCTATGGTGAGAAAGGAAATATCTTCAAATAAAAACTAGACAGAAGCATTCTCATAAACTTGTTTGTGATGTGTGAACTCAGCTAACAGAGGTGGATCTTTCTTTTGATAGAGCAGTTCTGAAAAACACGTTTTGTTGAATCTGCAAGTGGACATTTGGATAGATTTGAAGATTTCGTTGGAAACGGGAATATCGTCATATCAAATCTAGACAGAAGCATTCTCAGAAACGTCTTTGTGATGTTTGCATTCAACTCATAGAGTTGAACATTCCCTTTCAGAGAGCAGCTTTGAAGCACTCTTTTTGTAGCATTTGCAAGTGGACATTTGGAGCGCCCTGAGGCATACGGGGAAAAAGCAAATATCTTCCCATAACCACTAGACAGAAACATTCTCAGAAACTCCTGTATGACGTGTGCACTCACCTAACAGAGAAGAACCTTCCTTTTGACAGAGCAGTTTTGATACACTCTTTTTGTAGAATTTGCAAGTGGATATTTGGATAGCTGTGAAGATTTCGTTGGAAACGGGAATATCTTCCTATAAAATCTAGACAGAAGCATTCTCAGAAACTGCTCTGTGATGTCTGCATTCAAGTCACAGAGTTGAACATTGCCTTTCCTAGAGCAGGTTTGAAACGCTCTTTTTGTAGTATATGAAAGTGGACGTTTCGGACGGTTTGAGGACCATGGTGATAAAGGGAATATCTTCCCCTACAAGCTAGAAAGAAGCATTCTGTGAAACTTGTTTGTGATGTGTGTACTCAACTAACAGAGTTGAACCTTTCTTTTCACAGAGCAGTTTTGAAACACTCTTTTTGTAGAATCTGCGAGGGGATATTTGGATAGATTTCAGGATTTCGTTGGAAAGGGGAATATCTTCATATAAAATCTCGACAGAAGCATTCTCAGAAACTTCTTTGTGATATCTGCCTTTAAGTCACAGAGTTGAATATTCCCTTTCACAGAGTAGGTTTGAAACACTCTTTTTGTAGTATCTGGAAGTGGACATTTGGAGCGCCTTGACACCTACGGTGAAAAGGGAAATATCTTCCCATAAAAACTAGACAGAAGGAATCTCAGAATCTTCTTTGGGATATATGCACGCAGCTAACAGAGTTGAACCTTTCTATTGACAGAGCAGTTTTGAAACAGTCTTTCTGTGGAATCTGCACGTGGATATTTGGATAGCTTGGAGGATTTCGTTGGAAACGGGATTACGTATAAAAAGTAGACAGCAGCATCCTCAGAAACTTCTTTGTGATGTGTGCATTCAAGTCACAGTGTTGAACATTCCCTTTCGTACAGCAGTTTTGAAACACTCTTTCTGTAGTATCTGGAAGTGAACATTAGGACAGCTTTCAGGTCTATGGTGAGAAAGGAAATATCTTCAAATAAAAACTAGACAGAAGCATTCTCATAAACTTGTTTGTGATGTGTGAACTCAGCTAACAGAGGTGGATCTTTCTTTTGATAGAGCAGTTCTGAAAAACACTTTTTGTTGAATCTGCAAGTGGACATTTGGATAGATTTGAAGATTTCGTTGGAAACGGGAATATCTATATATCAAATCTAGACAGAAGCATTCTCAGAAACGTCTTTGTGATGTTTGCATTCAACTCATAGAGTTGAACATTCCGTTTCAGAGAGCAGGTTTGAAGCACTCTCTTTGTAGTATGTGCAAGTGGATATTTGGAGGGCTCTGAGGCCTACGGTGAAAAAGCAAATATCTTCCCATAACCACTAGACAGAAACATTCTCAGAAACTCCTTTATGACGTATGCACTCACCTAACAGAGAAGAACCTTCCTTTTGACGGAGCAGTTTTGATACACTCTTTTTGTAGAATCTGCAAGTGGATATTTGGATAGCTGTGAAGATTTCGTTGGAAACGGGAATATCTTCCTATAAAATCTAGACAGAAGCATTCTCAGAAACTGCTCTGTGATGTCTGCATTCAAGTCACAGAGTTGAACATTGCCTTTCATAGAGCAGGTTTGGAACGCTCTTTTTGTAGTATATGGAAGTGGACGTTTCGGACGGTTTGAGGCCCATGGTGATAAAGGGAATATCTTCCCCTACAAGCTAGAAAGAAGCATTCTGTGAAACTTGTTTGTGATGTGTGTACTCAACTAACAGAGTTGAACCTTTCTTTTTACAGAGCAGTTTTGAAACACTCCTTTTGTAGAATCTGCGAGGGGATATTTGGATAGATTTCAGGATTTCGTTGGAAACGGGAATATCTTCATATAAAATCTCGACAGAAGCATTCTCAGAAACTTCTTTGTGATATCTGCCTTTAAGTCACAGAGTTGAATATTCCCTTTCACAGAGTAGGTTTGAAACACTCTTTTTGTAGTATCTGGAAGTGGACATTTGGAGCGCCTTGACGCCTACGGTGAAAAGGGAAATATCTTCCCATAAAAACTAGACAGAAGCAATCTCAGAATCTTCTTTGGGATATATGCACGCAGCTAACAGAGTTGAACCTTTCTATTGACAGAGCAGTTTTGAAACAGTCTTTCTGTGGAATCTGCAAGTGGATATTTGGATAGCTTTGAGGATTTCGTTGGAAACGGGATTACGTATAAAAATTAGACAGCATCATCCTCAGAAACTTCTTTGTGATGTGTGCATTCAAGTCACAGAGTTGAACATTCCCTTTCGTACAGCAGTTTTGAAACACTCTTTCTATAGTATCTGGAAGTGAACATTAGGACAGCTTTCAGGTCTATGGTGAGAAAGGAAATATCTTCAAATAAAAACTAGACAGAAGCATTCTCATAAACTTCTTTGTGATGTGTGAACTCAGCTAACAGACGTGGATCTTTCTTTTGATACAGCAGTTTTGAGAAACACTTTGTTGAATCTGCAAGTGGACATTTGGATAGATTTGAAGATTTCGTTGGAAACGGGTATATCTTCATATCAAATCTAGACAGAAGCATTCTCAGAAACGTCTTTGTGATGTTTGCATTCAACTCATAGAGTTGAACATTCCGTTTCAGAGACCAGCTTTGAAGCACTCTTTTTGTAGTATGTGCAAGTGGATATTTGGAGCGCTTCTGAGGCCTACGGTGAAAAAGCAAATATCTTCCCATAACCACTAGACAGAAACATTCTCAGAAAATCCTTTATGACGTATGCACTCACCTAACAGAGAAGAACCTTCCTTTTGACAGAGCAGTTTTGATACACTCTTTTTGTAGAATCTGCAAGTGGATATTTGGATAGCTGTGAAGATTTCGTTGGAAACGGGAATATCTTCCTATAAAATCTAGACAGAAGCATTCTCAGAAACTGCTCTGTGATGTCTGCATTCAAGTCACAGAGTTGAACATTGCCTTTCATAGAGCAGGTTTCAAACACTCCTTTTTTAGTATATGGAAGTGGACGTTTCGGACGGTTTGAGTACCATGGTGATAAAGGAAATATCTTCCCCTACAAGCTAGAAAGAAGCATTCTGTGAAACTTGTTTGTGATGTGTGTACTCAACTAACAGAGTTGAACCTTTCTTTTTACAGAGCAGTTTTGAAACACTCTTTTTGTAGAATCTGTGAGGGGATATTTGGATAGATTTCAGGATTTCGTTGGAAACGGGAATATCTTCATATAAAATCTCGACAGAAGCATTCTCAGAAACTTCTTTGTGATATCTGCATTCAAGTCACAGAGTTGAATATTCCCTTTCACAGAGTAGGTTTGAAACACTCCTTTTGTAGTATCTGGAAGTGGACATTTGGAGCGCCTTGACGCCTACGGTGAAAAGGGAAATATCTTCCCATAAAAACTAGACAGAAGCAATCTCAGAATCATCTTTGGGATATATGCACGCAGCTAACAGAGTTCAACCTTTCTATTGACAGAGCAGTTTTGAAACAGTCTTTCTGTGGAATCTGCAAGTGGATATTTGGATAGCTTGGAGGATTTCGTTGGAAACGGGATTACGTATAAAAAGTAGACAGCAGCATCCTCAGAAACTTCTTTGTGATGTGTGCATTCAAGTCACAGAGTTGAACATTCCCTTTCGTACAGCAGTTTTGAAACACTCTTTCTGTATTATCTGGGAGTGAACATTAGGACAGCTTTCAGGTCTATGGTGAGAAAGGAAATATCTTCAAATAAAAACCAGACAGAAGAATTCTGATAAACTTGTTTGTGAAGTGTGAACTCAGCTAACAGAGGTGGATCTTTCTTTTGATACAGCAGTTTTGAAAAACACTTTGTTGAATCTGCAAGTGGACATTTGGATAGATTTGAAGATTTCGTTGGAAACGGGAATATCTTCATATCAAATCTAGACAGAAGCATTCTCAGAAACGTCTTTGTGATGTTTGCATTCAACTGATAGGGTTGAACATTCCCTTTCAGAGAGCAGCTTTGAAGCAATCTTTTTGTAGCATGTGCAAGTGGACATTTTGAGCGCTCTGAGGCCTATGGTGAAAAAGCAAATATCTTCCCATAACCACTAGACAGAAACATTCTCAGAAACTTCTTTATGACGTATGTACTCAACTAGCAGAAAAGAACTTTCCTTTTGACAGAGCTTTTTTGATACACTCTTTTTGTAGTATCTGCAAGTGGATATTTGGATAGCTGTAAAGATTTCGTTGGAATCGGGAATATCTTCCTATAAAGTCTGGACAGAAGCATTCTCAGAAACTGCTCTGTGATGTCTGCATTCAAGTCACAGAGTTGAACATTGCCTTTCATACAGCAGGTTTGAAATGCTCTTTTTGTAGTATATGGAAGTGGACGTTTCAGACGGTTTGAGGCCCATGGTGATAAAGGGAATATCTTCCGCTACAAGCTAGAAAGAAGCATTCTGTGAAACTTGTTTGTGATGTGTGTACTCAACTAACAGAGTTAAACCTTTCTTTTTACAGAACAGTTTTGAAACACTCTTGTTGTAGAATCTGCGAGGGGATATTTGGATAGATTTCAGGATTTCGTTGGAAACGGGAATATCTTCATATAAAATCTCGACAGAAGCATTCTCAGAAACTTCATTGTGATATGTGCATTCAAGTCACAGAGTTGAATATTCCCTTTCACAGAGTAGGTTTGAAACACTCTTTTTGTAGTATCTGGAAGTGGACATTTGGAGCGCTTTGACGCCTACGGTGAAAAGGGAAATATCTTCTCATAAAAACTAGACAGAAGCAATCTCAGAATCTTCTTTGGGATATATGCACGCAGCTAACAGAGTTGAACCTTTCTATTGACAGAGCAGTTTTGAAACAGTCTTTCTGTGGAATCTGCAAGTGGATATTTGGATAGCTTGGAGGATTTCGTTGGAAACGGGATTACAGTATAAAAAGTAGACAGCAGCATCCTCAGAAACTTCCTTGTGATGTGTGCATTCAAGACACACAGTTGAACATTCCCTTTCGTACAGCAGTTTTGAAACACTCTTTCTGTAGTATCTGGAAGTGAACATTAGGAGAGCTTTGAGGTCTATAGTGAGAAAGGGTATATCTTCAAATAAAAACTAGACAGAAGCATTCTCATAAACTTGTTTGTGATGTGTGAACTCATCTAACAGAGGTGGATCTTTCTTTTGATAGAGCAGTTCTGAAAAACACTTTTTGTGGAATCTGCAAGTGGACATTTGGATAGATTTGAAGATTTCGTTGGAAACGGGAATATCTTCATATCAAATCTAGACAGAAGCATTCTCAGAAACCTCTTTGTGATGTTTGCATTCAACTCATAGAGTTGAACATTCCGTTTCAGAGAGCAGCTTTGAAGCACTCTTTTTGTAGTATGTGCAAGTGGATATTTGGAGCGCTGTGAGGCCTACGGTGAAAAAGCAAATATCTTCCCATAACCACTAGACAGAAACATTCTCAGAAACTCCTTTATGACGTATGCACTCACCTAACAGAGAAGAACCTTCCTTTTGACAGAGCAGTTTTGATACACTCTTTTTGTAGAATCTGCAAGTGGATATTTGGATAGCTGTGAAGATTTCGTTGGAAACGGGAATTTCTTCCTATAAAATCTAGACAGAGGCATTCTCAGAAACAGCTCTGTGATGTCTGCATTCAAGTCACAGAGTTGAACATTGCCTATCATAGAGCAGGTTTGAAACGCTCTTTTTGAAGTATATGGAAGTGGACGTTTCAGACGGTTTGAGGCCCAGGGTGATAAAGGGAATATATTCCCCTACAAGCTAGAAAGAAGCATTCTGTGAAACTTGTTTGTGATGTGTGCACTCAACTAACAGAGTTGAACCTTTCTTTTTACAGAGCAGTTTTGAAACACTCTTTTTGTAGAATCTGTGAGGGGATATTTGGATACATTTCAGGATTTCGTTGGAAACGGGAATATCTTCATATAAAATCTCGACAGAAGCATTCTCAGAAACTTCTTTGTGATATGTGCATTCAAGTCACAGAGTTGAATATTCCCTTTCACAGAGTAGGTTTGAAACACTCTTTTTGTAGTATCTGGAAGTGGACATCTGGAGCGCCTTGACACCTACGGTGAAAAGGGAAATATCTTCCCATAAAAACTAGACAGAAGCAATCTCAGAATCTTCTTTGGGATATATGCACGCAGCTAACAGAGTTGAACCTTTCTATTGACAGAGCAGTTTTGAAACAGTCTTTCTGTGGAATCTGCAAGTGGATATTTGGATAGCTTGGAGGATTTCATTGGAAACGGGATTACGTATAAAAAGTAGACAGCAGCATCCTCAGAAACTTCTTTGTGATGTGTGCATTCAAGTCACAGAGTTGAACATTCCCTTTCGTACAGCAGTTTTGAAACACTCTTTCTGTAGCATCTTTAAGTGAACATTAGGACAGCTTTCAGGTCTATGGTGAGAAAGGAAATATCTTCAAATAAAAACTAGACAGAAGCATTCTCATAAACTTGTTTCTGATGTGTGAACTCAGCTAACAGAGGTGGATCTTTCTTTTGATAGAGCAGATCTGAAAAACACTTTTTGTTGAATCTGCAAGTGGACATTTGGATAGATTTGAAGATTTCGTTGGAAACGGGAATATCTTCATATCAAATCTAGACAGAAGCATTGTCAGAAACGTCTTTGTGATGTTTGCATTCAACTCATAGAGTTGAACATTCCCTTTCAGAGAGCAGCTTTGAAGCACTCTTTTTGTAGTATGTGCAAGTGGATATTTGGAGCGCTCTGAGGCCTTCGGTGAAAAAGCAAATATCTTCCCATAACCACTAGACAGAAACATTCTCAGAAACTCCTTTATGACGTATGCACTCACCTAACAGAGAAGAACCTTCCATTTGACAGAGCAGTTTTGATACACTCTTTTTGTAGAATCTGCAAGTGGATATTTGGATAGCTGTGAAGATTTCGCTGGAAACGGGAATATCTTCCTATAAAATGCTAGACAGAAGCATTCTCAGAAACTGCTCTGTGATGTCTGCATTCAAGTCACAGAGTTGAACATTGCCTTTCATAGAGCAGGTTTGAAACGCTCTTTTTGTAGTATATGGAAGTGGATGTTTCGGACGGTTGGAGGCCCATGGTGATAAAGGGATTATCTTCCCCTACAAGCTAGAAAGAAGCATTCTGTGAAACTTGTTTGTGATGTGTGTACTCAACTAACAGAGTTGAACCTTTCTTTTTACAGAGCAGTTTTGAAACACTCTTTTTGTAGAATCTGCGAGGGGATATTTGGATACATTTCAGCATTTCGTTGGAAACGGGAATATATTCATATAAAATCTCGACAGAAGCTTTCTCAGAAACTTCTTTGTGATATGTGCATTCAATTCACAGAGTTGAATATTCCCTTTCACAGAGTAGGTTTGAAACACTCTTTTTGTAGTATCTGGAAGTGGACATTTGGAGCGCCTTGACACCTACGGTGAAAAGGGAAATATCTTCCCATAAAAACTAGACAGAAGCAATCTCAGAATCTTCTTTGGGATATATGCACGCAGCTAACAGAGTTGAACCTTTCTATTGACAGAGCAGTTTTGAAACAGTCTTTCTGTGGAATCTGCAAGTGGATATTTGGATAGCTTGGAGGATTTCGTTGGAAACGGAATTACGTATAAAAAGTAGACAGCAGCATCCTCAGAAACTTCTTTGTGATGTGAGCATTCAAGTCACAGAGTTGAACATTCCCTTTCGTACAGCAGTTTTGAAACACTCTTTCTGTAGTATCTGGAAGTCAACGTTAGGACAGCTTTCAGCTCTATGGTGAGAAAGGAAATATCTTCAAATAAAAACTAGACAGAAACATTCTCATAAACTTGTTTGTGATGTGTGAACTCAGCTAAGAGACGTGGATCTTTCTTTTGATAGAGCAGTTCTGAAAAACACGTTTTGTTGAATCTGCAAGTGGACATTTGGATAGATTTGAAGATTTCGTTGGAAACGGGAATATCTTCATATCAAATCTAGACAGAAGCATTCTCAGAAACGTCTTTGTGATGTTTGCATTCAACTCATAGAGTTGAACATTCCGTTTCAGAGAGCAGCTTTGAAGCACTCTTTTTGTAGTATGTGCAAGTGGATATTTGGAGCGCTCTGAGTCCTACGGGGAAAAAGCAAATATCTTCCCATAACCACTAGACTGAAACATTCTCAGAAACTCCTTTATGACGTATGCACTCACCTAACAGAAACGAACCTTCCTTTTGACAGAGCAGTTTTGATACACTCTTTTTGTAGAATCTGCAAGTGGATATTTGGATAGCTGTGAAGATTTCATTGGAAACGGGAATATCTTCCTATAAAATCTAGACAGAAGCATTCTCAGAAACTGCTCTGTGATGTCTGCATTCAAGTCACAGAGTTGAACATTGCCTTTCATAGAGCAGGTTTGAAATGCTCTTTTTGTAGTATATGGAAGTGGACGTTTCAGACGGTTTGAGGCCCATGGTGATAAAGGGAATATCTTCCCCTGCAAGCTAGAAAGAAAGCATTGTGTGAAACTTGTTTGTGATGTGTGTACTCAACTAACAGAGTTGAACCTTTCTTTTCACAGAGCAGTTTTGAAACACTCTTTTTGTAGAATCTGCGAGGGGATACTTGGATAGATTTCAGGATTTCGTTGGAAACGGGAATATCTTCATATAAAATCTCGACAGAAGCATTCTCAGAAACTTCTTTGTGATATGTGCATTCAAGTCACAGAGTTGAATATTCCCTTTCACAGAGTAGGTTTGAAACACTCTTTTTGTAGTATCTGGAAGTGGACATTTGGAGCGCCTTGACACCTACGGTGAAAAGGGAAGTATCTTCCCATCAAAACTAGACAGAAGCAATCTCAGAATCTTCCTTGGGATATATGCACGCAACTAACAGAGTTGAACCTTTCTATTGACAGAGCAGTTTTGAAACAGTCTTTCTGTGGAATCTGCAAGTGGATATTTGGATAGCTTGGAGGATTTCCTTGGAAACGGGATTACGTATAAAAAGTAGACAGCAGCATCCTCAGAAACTACTTTGTGATGTGTGCATTCAAGTCACAGAGTTGAACATTCCCTTTCGTACAGCAGTTTTGAAACACTCTTTCTGTAGTATCTGGAAGTGAACATTAGGACAGCTTTCAGGTCTATAGTGAGAAAGGATATATCTTCAAATAAAAACTAGACAGAAGCATTCTCATAAACTTGTTTGTGATGTGTGAACTCAGCTAACAGAGGTGGATCTTTCTTTTGATAGAGCAGTTCTCAAAAACACTTTTTGTTGAATCTGCAAGTGGACATTTGGATAGATTTGAAGATTTCGTTGGAAACGGGAATATCTTCATATCAAATCTAGACAGAAGCATTCTCAGAAACGTCTTTGTGATGTTTGCATTCAACTCATAGAGTTGAACATTCCCTTTCAGAGAGCAGCTTTGAAACACTCTTTTTGTAGTATGTGCAAGTGGATATTTGGAGCGCTCTGAGGCCTACGGTGAAAAAGAAAATATCTTCCCATAACCACTAGACAGAAACATTCTCAGAAACTCCTTTATGACGGTATGCACTCACCTAACAGAGAAGAACCTTCCTTTTGACAGAGCAGTTTTGATACACTCTTTTTGTAGAATCTGCAAGTGGATATTTGGATAGCTGTGAAGATTTTGTTGGAAACGGGAATATCTTCCTATAAAATCTAGACAGAAGCATTCTCAGAAACTGCTCTGTGATGTCTGCATTCAAGTCACAGGGTTGAACATTGCCTTTCCTAGAGCAGGTTTGAAACGCTCTTTTTGTAGTATATGGAAGTGGACGTTTCGGACGGTTTGAGGCCCATGGTGATAAAGGGAATATCTTCCCCTACAAGCTAGAAAGAAGCATTCTGTGAAACTTGTTTGTGATGTGTGTACTCAACTAACAGAGTTGAACCTTTCTTTTTACAGAGCAGTTTTGAAACACTCTTTTTGTAGAATCTGCGAGGGGATATTTGGATAGATTTCAGGATTTCTTTGGAAACGGGAATATCTTCATATAAAATCTCGACAAAAGCATTCTCAGAAGCTTCTTTGTGATATGTGCATTCAAGTCACAGAGTTCAATATTCCCTTTCACAGAGTAGGTTTGAAACACTCTTTTTGTAGTATCTGGAAGTGGACATTTGGAGCGCCTTGACGCCTACAGTGAAAAGGGAAATATCTTCTCATAAAAAGTAGACAGAAGCAATCTCAGAATTTTCTTTGGGATATATGCACACAGCGAACTGAGTTGAACTTTTCTATTGACATAGCAGTTTTGAAACAGTCTTTCTGTGGAATCTGCAAGTGGATATTTGGATAGCTTGGAGGATTTCGTTGGAAATGGGATTACGTATAAAAAGTAGACAGCAGCATCCTCAGAAACATCCTTGTGATGTGTGCATTCAAGTCACAGAGTTGAACATTCCCTTTCGAACAGCAGTTTTGAAACACTCTTTCTGTAGTATCTGGAAGTGAACTTTAGGAGAGCTTTCAGGTCTATAGTGAGAAAGGATATATCTTCAAATAAAAACTAGACAGAAGCATTCTCATAAACTTGTTTGTGAAGTGTGAACTCAGCTAACAGAGGTGGATCTTTCTTTTGATAGAGCAGTTCTGAAAAACACTTTTTGTTGAATCTGCAAGTGGACATTTGGATAGATTTGAAGATTTCGTTGGAAACGGGAATATCTTCATATCAAATCTAGACAGAAGCATTCTCGGAAACGTCTTTGTGATGTTTGCATTCAACTCATAGAGTTGAACATTCCGTTTCAGAGAGCAGCTTTGAAGCACTCTTTTTGTAGTATGTGCAAGTGGATATTTGGAGCGCTGTGAGGCCTGCAGTGAAAAAGCAAATATCTTCCCATAACCACTAGACTGAAACATTCTCAGAAACTCCTTTATGACGTATGTACTCAACTAACAGAGAAGAACCTTCCTTTTGACAGAGCAGTTTTGATACACTCTTTTTGTAGAATCTGCAAGTGGATATTTGGATAGCTGTGAAGATTTCATTGGAAACGGGAATATCTTCCTATAAAATCTAGACAGAAGCATTCTCAGAAACTGCTCTGTGATGTCTGCATTCAAGTCACAGAGTTGAACATTGCCTTTCATAGAGCAGGTTTGAAACGCTCTTTTTGTAGTATATGGAAGTAGACGTTTCGGACGGTTTGAGGCCCATGGTGATAAAGGGAATATCTTCCCCTACAAGCTAGAAAGAAGCATTCTGTGAAACTTGTTTGTGATGTGTGTACACAACTAACAGAGTTGAACCTTTCTTTTTACAGAGCAGTTTTGAAACACTCTTTTTGTAGAATCTGCGAGGGGATATTTAGATAGATTTCAGGATTTCGTTGGAAACGGGAATATCTTCATATAAAATCTCGACAGAAGCATTCTCAGAAACTTCTTTGTGATATCTGCATTCAAGTCACAGAGTTGAATATTCCCTTTCACAGAGTAGGTTTGAAACACTCTTTTTGTAGTATCTGGAAGTGGACATTTGGAGCGCCTTGACGCCTACGGTGAAAAGGGAAATATCTTCCCATAAAAACTGGACAGAAGCAATCTCAGAATCTTCTTTGGGATATATGCACACAGCTAACAGAGTTGAACCTTTCTATTGACAGAGCAGTTTTGAAACAGTCTTTCTGTGGAATCTGCAAGTGGATATTTGGATAGCTTGGAGGATTTCGTTGGAAACGGGATTACGTATAAAAAGTAGACAGCAGCATCCTCAGAAACTTCTTTGTGATGTGTGCATTCAAGTCACAGAGTTGAACATTCCCTTTCGTACAGCAGTTTTGAAACACTCTTTCTGTAGTATCTGGAAATGAACATTAGGACAGCTTTCAGCTCTATGGTGAGAAAGGAAATATCTTCAAATAAAAACTAGACAGAAGCATTCTCATAAACTTGTTCGTGATGTGTGAACTCAGCTAAGAGCCGTGGATCTTTCTTTTGATAGAGCAGTTCTGAAAAACACTTTTTGTTGAATCTGCAAGTGGACATTTGGATAGATTTGAAGATTTCGTTGGAAACGGGAATATCTTCATATCAAGTCCAGACAGAAGCATTCTCAGAAACGTCTTTGTGATGTTGGCATTCAACTCATAGAGTTGAACATTCCGTTTCAGAGAGCAGCTTTGAGGCACTCTTTTTGTAGTATGTGCAAGTGGATATTTGGAGCGCTCTGAGGCCTACGGTGAAAAAGCAAATATCTTCCCATAACCACTAGACAGAAACATTCTCAGAAACTCCGTTATGACGTATGCACTCACCTAACAGAGAAGAACCTTCCTTTTGACTGAGCAGTTTTGATACACTCTTTTTGCAGAATCTGCAAGTGGATATTTGGATAACTGTGAAGATTTCGTTGGAAACGGGAATATCTTCCTATAAAATCTAGACAGAAGCATTCTCAGAAACTGCTCTGTGATGTCTGCATTCAAGTCACAGAGTTGAACATTGCCTTTCATGGAGCAGGTTTGAAACGCTCTTTTTGTAGTATATGGAAGTGGACGATTCGGACGGTTTGAGGCCCATGGTGATAAAGGGAATATCTTCCCCTACGAGCTAGAAAGAAGCATTCTGTGAAACTTGTTTGTGATGTGTGCACTCAACTAACAGAGTTGAACCTTTCTCTTTACAGAGCAGTTTTGAAACACTCTTTTTGTAGAATCTGCGAGGGGATATTTGGATACATTTCAGGATTTCGCTGGAAACGGGAATATCTTCATATAAAATCTCGACAGAAGCATTCTCAGAAACTTCTTTGTGATATCTGCATTCAAGTCACAGAGTTGAATATTCCCTTTCACAGAGTAGGTTTGAAACACTCTTTTTGTAGTATCTGGAAGTGGACATTTGGAGCGCCTTGACGTCTACGGTGAAAACGGAAATATCTTCCCATAAAAACTAGACAGAAGCAATCTCAGAATCTTCTTTGGGATATATGCACGCAGCTAATAGAGTTGAACCTTTCTATTGACAGAGCAGTTTTGAAACAGTCTTTCTGTGGAATCTGCAAGTGGATATTTGGATAGCTTGGGGGATTTCTTTGGAAACGGGATTACGTATAAAAAGTAGACAGCAGCATCCTCAGAATCTTCCTTGTGACGTGTGCATTCAAGTCACAGAGTTGAACATTCCCTTTCGTACAGCAGTTTTGAAAAACTCTTTCTGTAGTATCGGGAAGTGAACTTTAGGAGAGCTTTCAGGTCTATAGTGAGAAAGGATATATCTTCAAATAAAAACTAGACAGATTCTTTTGATAGAGCATCAGCTAACAGACGTGGATCTTTCTTTTGATACAGCAGTTTTGAAAAACACTTTTTGTTGAATCTGCAAGTGGACATTTGGATAGATATGAAGATTTCGTTGGAAACGGGAATATCTTCATATCAAATCTAGACAGAAGCATTCTCAGAAACGTCTTTGTGATGTTTGCATTCAACTCATAGAGTTGAACATTCCCTTTCAAAGAGCAGCTTTGAAGCACTCTTTTTGTAGTATGTGCAAGGGGATATTTGGAGCTCTCTGAGGCCTAAGGTGAAAAAGCAAATATCTTCCCATAACCACTAGACAGAAACATTCTCAGAAACTCCTTTATGACGTATGTACTCAACTAACAGAGAAGAACCTTCCTTTTGACAGAGCAGTTTTGATACACTCTTTTTGTAGAATCTGCAAGTGGATATTTGGATAGCTGTGAAGATTTCTTTGGAAACGGGAATATCTTCCTATAAAATCTAGACAGAAGCATTCTCAGAAACTGCTCTGTGATGTCTGCATTCAAGTCACAGAGTTGAACATTGCCTTTCATAGAGCAGGTTTGAAACGCTCTTTTTGTAGTATATGGAAGTGGTCTTTTCGGACGGTTTGAGGCCCATGGTGATAAAGGGAATATCTTCCCCTACAAGCTAGAAAGAAGCATTCTGTGAAACTTGTTTGTGATGTGTGTACTCAACTAACAGAGTTGAACCTTCCTTTTTACAGAGCAGTTTTGAAACACTCTTTTTGTAGAATCTGCGAGGGGATATTTGGATAGATTTCAGGATTTCTTTGGAAACGGGAATATCTTCATATAAAATCTCGACAGAAGCATTCTCAGAAACTTCTTTGTGATATGTGCATTCAAGTCACAGTAGTTGAATATTCCCTTTCACAGAGTAGGTTTGAAACACTCTTTTTGTAGTATCTGGAAGTGGACATTTGAAGCGCCTTGACGCCTACGGTGAAAAGGGAAATATCTTCCCATAAAAACTAGACAGAAGCAATCTCAGAATCTTCTTTGGGATATATGCACGCAGCTAACAGAGTTGAACCTTTCTATTGACAGAGCAGTTTTGAAACATTCTTTCTGTGGAATCTGCAAGTGGATATTTGGATAGCTTGCAGGATTTCGTTGGAAACGGGATTACGTATAAAAAGTAGACAGCAGCATCCTCAGAAACTTCTTTGTGATGTGTGCATTCAAGTCACAGAGTTGAACATTCCCTTTCGTACAGCAGTTTTGAAACACTCTTTCTGTAGTATCTGGAAGTGAACATTAGGACAGCTTTCAGGTCTATGGTGAGAAAGGAAATATCTTCAAATAAAAACTAGACAGCAGCATTCTCATAAACTTGTTTGTGATGTGTGAACTCAGCTAACAGGAGGTGGATCTTTCTTTTGATAGAGCAGTTCTGAAAAACACTTTTTGTTGAATCTGCAAGTGGACATTTGGATAGATTTGAATATTTCGTTGGTAACGGGAATATCTTCATATCAAATCTAGACAGAAGCATTCTCAGAAACGTCTTTGTGATGTTTGCATTCAACTCATAGAGTTGAACATTCCCTTTCAGAGAGCAGCTTTGTGGCACTCTTTTTGTAGTATGTGCAAGTAGATATTTGGAGCGCTCTGAGGCCTACGGTGAAAAAGCAAATATCTTCCCATAACCACTAGACAGAAAACATTCTCAGAAACTCCTTTATGAGGTATGCACTCACCTAACAGAGAAGAACCTTCCTTTTGACAGAGCAGTTTTGATACACTCTTTTTGTAGAATCTGCAAGTGGATATTTGGATACCTGTGAAGATTTCGTTGGAAACGGGAATATCTTCCTATAAAATCTAGACAGAAGCATTCTCAGAAACTGCTCTGTGATGTCTGCATTCAAGTCACAGAGTTGAACATTGCCTTTCATAGAGTATGTTTGAAACGCTCTTTTTGTAGTATATGGAAGTAGACGTTTCGGACGGTTTGAGGCCCATGGTGATAAAGGGAATATCTTCCCCTACAAGCTAGAAAGAAGCATTGTGTGAAACTTGTTTGTGATGTGTGTACTCAACTAACAGAGTTGAACCTTTCTTTTTACAGAGCAGTTTTGAAACACTCTTTTTGTAGAATCTGCGAGGGGATATTTGGATACATTTCAGGATTTCCTTGGAAACGGGAATATCTTCATATAAAATCTCGACAGAAGCATTCTCAGAAACTTCTTTGTGTTATCTGCATTCAAGTCACAGAGTTGAATATTCCCTTTCACAGAGTAGGTTTGAAACACTCTTTTTGTAGTGTCTGGAAGTGGACATTTGGAGCACATTGACACCTACGGTGAAAAGGGAAATATCTTCCCATAAAAACTAGACAGAAGCAATCTCAGAATCTTCTTTGGGTTATATGCACGCAGCTAACAGAGTTGAACCTTTCTATTGACAGAGCAGTTTTGAAACAGTCTTTCTGTGGAATCTGCAAGTGGATATTTGGATAGCTTGGAGGATTTCGTTGGAAACGGGATTACGTATAAAAAGTAGACAGCAGCATCCTCAGAAACTTCTTTGTGATGTGTGCATTCAAGTCACAGAGTTGAACATTCCCTTTCGTACAGCAGTTTTCAAACACTCTTTCTGTAGTAACTGGAAGTGAACATTAGGACAGCTTTCAGCTCTATGGTGAGAAAGGAAATATCTTCAAATAAAAACTAGACAGAAGCATTCTCATAAACTTGTTTGTGATGTCTGAACTCAGCTAACAGAGGTGGATCTTTCTTTTGATAGAGCAGTTCTGAAAAACACTTTTTGTTGAATCTGCAAGTGGACATTTGGATAGATTTGAAGATTTCATTGGAAACGGGAATATCTTCATATCAAATCTAGACAGAAGCATTCTCAGAAACGTCTTTGTGATGTTTGCATTCAACTCATAGAGTTGAACATTCCCTTTCAGAGAGCAGCTTTGAAGCACTCTTTTTGTAGCATGTGCAAGTGGACATTTGGAGCGCCCTGAGGCCTACGGGGAAAAAGGAAATATCTTCCCATAACCACTAGACAGAAACATTCTCAGAAACTCCTTTATGACGTATGCACTCACCTAACAGAGAAGAACCTTCTTTTGACAGAGGAGTTTTGATACACTCTTTTTGTAGAATCTGCAAGTGGATATTTGGATAGCTGTGAAGATTTCGTTGGAAACGGGAATATCTTCCTATAAAATCTAGACAGAAGCATTCTCAGAAACAGCTCTGTGATGTCTGCATTCAAGTCACAGAGTTGAACATTGCCTTTCATAGAGCAGGTTTGAAACGCTCTTTTTGTAGTATATGGAGGTGGACGTTTCGGACGGTTTGAGACCCATGGTGATAAAGGGAATATATTCCCCTACAAGCTAGAAAGAAGCACTCTGTGAAACTTGTTTGTGATGTGTGTACTCAACTAACAGTGTTGAACCTTTCTTTTTACAGAGCAGTTTTGAAACACTCTTTTTGTAGAATCTGCGAGGGGATATTTGGATAGATTTCAGGATTTCGTTGGAAACGGGAATATCTTCATATAAAATCTCGACAGAAGCATTCTCAGAAACTTCCTTGTGATATGTGCATTCAAGTCACAGAGTTGAATATTCCCTTTCACAGAGTAGGTTTGAAACACTCTTTTTGTAGTATCTGGAAGTGGACATTTAGAGCGCCTTGACGCCTACGGTGAAAAGGGAAATATCTTCCCATAAAAACTAGACAGAAGCAATCTCAGAATCTTCTTTGGGATATATGCACGCAGCTAACAGAGTTGAACCTTTCTATTGACAGAGCAGTTTTGAAACAGTCTTTCTGTGGAATCTGCAAGTGGATATTTGGATAGATTGGAGGATTTCTTTGGAAACGGGATTAGGTATAAAAAGTAGACAGCAGCATCCTCAGAAACTTCTCTGTGATGTGTGCATTCAAGTCACAGAGTTGAACATTCCCTTTCGTACAGCAGTTTTGAAACACTCTTTCTGTAGTATCTGGAAGTGAACATTAGGACAGCTTTCAG
The DNA here is from genome assembly GCF_000001405.40 of Homo sapiens. Taxonomy (NCBI): domain Eukaryota; kingdom Metazoa; phylum Chordata; class Mammalia; order Primates; family Hominidae; genus Homo; species Homo sapiens. Next base: position 17,346,010 of record NC_000014.9, read on the forward strand.
CTCTATGGTGAGAAAGGAAATATCTTCAAATAAAAACTAGACAGAAGCATTCTGATAAACTTGTTTGTGAAGTGTGAACTCAGCTAACAGAGGTGGATCTTTCTTTTGATAGAGCAGTTCTGAAAAACACTTTTTGTTGAATCTGCAAGTGGACATTTGGATAGATTTGAAGATTTCGTTGGAAACGGGAATATCTTCATATCAAATCTAGACAGAAGCATTCTCGGAAACGTCTTGGTCATGTTTGCATTCAACTCATAGAGTTGAACATTCCCTTTCAGAGAGCAGCTTTGAAGCACTCTTTTTGTAGTATGTGCAAGGGGATATTTGGAGCGCTCTGAGGCCTAAGGTGAAAAAGCAAATATCTTCCCATAACCACTAAACAGAAACATTCTCAGAAACTCCTTTATGACGTATGCACTCACCTAACAGAAAAGAACCTTCCTTTTGACAGAGCAGTTTTGATACACTCTTTTTGTAGAACCTGCAAGTGGATATTTGGATAGCTGTGAAGATTTCGTTGGAAACGGGAATATCTTCCTATAAAATCTAGACAGAAGCATTCTCAGAAACTGCTCTGTGATGTCTGCATTCAACTCACAGAGTTGAACATTGCCTTTCATAGAGCAGGTTTGAAACGCTCTTTTTGTAGTATATGGAAGTGGACGTTTCAGACGGTTTGAGGCCCATGGTGATAAAGGGAATATCTTCCCCTACAAGCTAGAAAGAAGCATTCTGTGAAACTTGTTTGTGATGTGTGTACTCAACTAACAGAGTTGAACCTTTCTTTTTCCAGAGCAGTTTTGAAACACTCTTTTTGTAGAATCTGCGAGGGGATATTTGGATACATTTCAGGATTTCGTTGGAAACGGGAATATCTTCATATAAAATCTCGACAGAAGCATTCTCAGAAAACTTCTTTGTGATATGTGCATTCAAGTCAGAGAGTTGAATATTCCCTTTCACAGAGTAGGTTTGAAACACTCTTTCTGTAGTATCTGGAAGTGGACATTTTGAGCACCTTGACGCCTACGGTGAAAAGGGAAATATCTTCTCATAAAAAGTAGACAGAAAGCAATCTCAGAATCTTCTTTGGGATATATGCACGCAGCTAACAGAGTTGAACATTTCTATTGACAGAGCAGTTTTGAAACAGTCGTTCTGTGGAATCTGCAAGTGGATATTTCGATAGCTTGGAGGATTTCGTTGGAAACGGGATTACGTATCAAAAGTACACAGCAGCATCCTCAGAAACTACTTTGTGATGTGTGCATTCAAGTCACAGAGTTGAACATTCCCTTTCGTACAGCAGTTTTGAAACACTCTTTCTGTAGTATCTGGAAGTGAACATTAGGACAGCTTGCAGGTCTATGGTGAGAAGGGAAATATCTTCAAATAAAAACTAGACAGAAGCATTCTCATAAACTTGTTTGTGATGTGTGAACTCAGCTAACAGACGTGAATCTTTCTTTTGATACAGCAGTTTTAAAAACACTTTTTGTTGAATCTGCAAGTGGACATTTGGATAGATTTGAAGATTTCGTTGGAAACGGGAATATCTTCATATCAAATCTAGACAGAAGCATTCTCAGAAACGTTTTTGTGATGTTTGCATTCAACTCATAGAGTTGAACATTCCCTTTCAGAGAGCAGCTTTGAAGCACTCTTTTTGTAGCATGTGCAAGTGGACATTTGGAGCGCCCTGAGGCCTACGGGGAAAAAGCAAATATCTTCCCATAACCACTAGACAGAAACATTCTCAGAAACTCCTTTATGACGTATGCACTCACCTAACAGAGAAGAACCTTCCTTTTGACAGAGCAGTTTTGATACACTCTTTTTGTAGAATCTGCAAGTGGATATTTGGATAGCTGTAAAGATTTCGTTGGAAACGGGAATATCTTCCTATAAAATCTAGACAGAAGCATTCTCAGAAACTGCTCTGTGATGTCTGCATTCAAGTGACAGAGTTGAACATTGCCTTTCATAGAGCAGGTTTCAAACACTCTTTTTTTAGTATATGGAAGTGGACGTTTCGGACGGTTTGAGAACCATGGTGATAAAGGAAATATCTTCCCCTACAAGCTAGAAAGAAGCATTGTGTGAAACTTGTTTGTGATGTGTGTACTCAACTAACAGAGTTGAACCTTTCTTTTTACAGAGCAGTTTTGAAACACTCTTTTTGTATAATCTGCGAGGGGATATTTGGATACATTTCAGGATTTCGTTGGAAACGGGAATATCTTCATATAAAATCTCGACAGAAGCATTCTCAGAAGCTTCTTTGTGATATGTGCATTCAAGTCACACAGTTGAATATTCCCTTTCACAGAGTAGGTTTGAAACACTCTTTTTGTAGTATCTGGAAGTGGACATTTGGAGCGCCTTGACGCCTACGGTGAAAAGGGAAATATCTTCTCATAAAAAGTAGACAGAAGCAATCTCAGAATCTTCTTTGGGATGTATGCACGCAGCTAACAGAGTTGAACCTTTCTATTGACAGAGCAGTTTTGAAACAGTCTTTTTGTGGAATCTGCAAGTGGATATTTGGATAGCTTGGAGGATTTCGTTGGAAACGGGATTACGTATAAAAAGTAGACAGCAGCATCCTCAGAAACTTCTTTGTGATGTGTGCATTGAAGTCACAGAGTTGAACATTCCCTTTCGTACAGCAGTTTTGAAACACTCTTTCTGTAGTATCTGGAAGTGAACATTAGGACAGCTTTCAGGTCTATGGTGAGAAAGGAAATATCTTCAAATAAAAACTAGACAGAAGCATTCTCATAAACTTGTTTGTGATGTGTGAACTCAGCTAAGAGACCTGGATCTTTCTTTTGATAGAGCAGTTCTGAAAAACACTTTTTGTTGAATCTGCAAGTGGACATTTGGATAGATTTGAAGATTTCTTTGGAAACGGGAATATCTTCATATCAAATCTAGACAGAAGCATTCTCAGAAACGTCTTTGTGATGTTTGCATTCAACCCATAGAGTTGAACATTCCGTTTCAGAGAGCAGCTTTGAAGCACTCTTTTTGTAGTATGTGCAAGGGGATATTTGGAGCGCTCTGAGGCCTAAGGTGAAAAAGCAAATATCTTCCCATAACCACTAGACAGAAACATTCTCAGAAACTCCTTTATGACGTATGTACTCAACTAACAGAGAAGAACCTTCCTTTTGACAGAGCAGTTTTGATACACTCTTTTTGTAGAATCTGCAAGTGGATATTTGGATAGCTGTGAAGATATCGTTGGAAACGGGAATATCTTCCTATAAAATCTAGACAGAAGCATTCTCAGAAACTGCTCTGTGATGTCTGCATTCAAGTCACAGAGTTGAACATTGCTTTTCATAGAGCAGGTTTGAAACGTTCTTTTTGTAGTATATGGAAGTAGACGTTTCGGACGCTTTGAGGCCCATGGTGATAAAGGGAATATCTTCCCCTACAAGCTAGAAAGAAGCATTCTGTGAAACTTGTTTGTGATGTGTGTACTCAACTAACAGAGTTGAACCTTTCTTTTTACAGAGCAGTTTTGAAACACTCTTTTTGTAGAATCTGCGAGGGGATATTTGGATAGATTTAGGATTTCGTTGGAAACGGGAATATCTTCATATAAAATCTCGACAGAAGCATTCTCAGAAACTTCTTTGTGATATCTGCCTTTAAGTCACAGAGTTGAATATTCCCTTTCACAGAGTAGGTTTGAAACACTCTTTTTGTAGTATCTGGAAGTGGACATTTGGAGCGCATTGACGCCTACGGTGAAAAGGGAAATATCTTCCCATAAAAACTAGACAGAAGCAATCTCAGAATTTTCTTTGGGATATATGCACACAGCTAACAGAGTTGAACTTTTCTATTGACATAGCAGTTTTGAAACAGTCTTTCTGTGGAATCTGCAAGTGGATATTTGGATAGCTTGGAGGATTTCGTTGGAAATGGGATTACGTATAAAAAGTAGACAGCAGCATCCTCAGAAACTTCTTTGTGATGTGTGCATTCAAGTCACAGAGTTGAACATTCCCTTTCGTACAGCAGTTTTGAAACACTCTTTCTGTAGTGTCTGGAAGTGAACATTAGGACAGCTTTCAGGTCTATGGTGAGAAAGGAAATATCTTCAAATAAAAACTAGACAGAAGCATTCTCATAAACTTGTTTGTGATGTGTGAACTCAGCTAAGAGACGTGGATCTTTCTTTTGATAGAGCAGTTCTGAAAAACACGTTTTGTTGAATCTGCAAGTGGACATTTGGATAGATTTGAAGATTTCGTTGGAAACGGGAATATCGTCATATCAAATCTAGACAGAAGCATTCTCGGAAACGTCTTTGTCATGTTTGCATTCAACTCATAGAGTTGAACATTCCGTTTCAGAGAGCAGCTTTGAAGCACTCTTTTTGTAGTATGTGCAAGTGGATATTTGGATCGCTCTGAGGCCTAAGGTGAAAAAGCAAATATCTTCCCATAACCACTAGACAGAAACATTCTCAGAAACTCCTTTATGACGTATGCACTCACCCAACAGAGAAGAACCTTCCTTTTGACAGAGCAGTTTTGATACACTCTTTTTGTAGAATCTGCAAGTGGATATTTGGATAGCTGTGAAGATTTCGTTGGAAACGGGAATATCTTCCTATAAAATCTAGACAGAAGCATTCTCAGAAACTGCTCTGTGATATCTGTATTCAAGTCACAGAGTTGAACATTGCCTTTCATAGAGCAGGTTTGAAACGCTCTTTTTGTAGTATATGTAAGTGGATGTTTCGGACGGTTGGAGGCCCATGGTGATAAAGGGAATATCTTCCCCTACAAGCTAGAAAGAAGCATTCTGTGAAACTTGTTTGTGATGTGTGTACTCAACTAACAGAGTTGAACCTTTCTTTTTACAGAGCAGTTTTGAAACACTCTTTTTGTAGAATCTGCGGGGGGATATTTGGATAGATTTCAGGATTTCGTTGGAAACGGGAATATCTTCATATAAAATCTCGACAGAAGCATTCTCAGAAACTTCTTTGTGATATCTGCATTCAGGTCACAGAGTTGAATATTCCCTTTCACCGAGTAGGTTTGAAACATTCTTTTTGTAGTATCTGGAAGTGGACATTTGGAGCGCCATGACGCCTACGGTGAAAAGGGAAATATCTTCCCATAAAAACTAGACAGAAAGCAATCTCAGAATCTTCTTTGGGATATATGCACGCAGCTAACAGAGTTGAACCTTTCTATTGACAGAGCAGTTTTGAAACAGCCTTTCTGTGGAATCTGCAAGTGGATATTTGGATAGCTTGGAGGATTTCGTTGGAAACGGGATTACGTATAAAAAGTAGACAGCAGCATCCTCAGAAACTTCTTTGTGACGTGTGCATTCAAGTCACAGAGTTGAACATTCCCTTTCGTACAGCAGTTTTGAAACACTCTTTCTGTAGTATCTGGAAGTGAACATTAGGACAGCTTTCAGCTCTATGGTGAGAAAGGAAATATCTTCAAATAAAAACTAGACAGAAGCATTCTCATTAACTTGTTTGTGATGTGTGAACTCAGCTAACAGAGGTGGATCTTTCTTTTGATAGAGCAGTTCTGAAAAACATTTTTTGTTGAATCTGCAAGTGGACATTTAGATAGATTTGAAGATTTCGTTGGAAACGGGAATATCTTCATATCAAATCTAGACAGAAGCCTTCTCAGAGACGTCTTTGTGATGTTTGCATTCAACTCATAGAGTTGAACATTCCGTTTCAGAGAGCAGCTTTGAGGCACTCTTTTTGTAGTATGTGCAAGTGGATATTTGGAGCGCTCTGAGGCCTACGGTGAAAAAGCAAATATCTTCCCATAACCACTAGACAGAAACATTCTCAGAAACTCCTTTACGACGTATGCACTCACCTAACAGAGAAGAACCTTCCTTTTGACAGAGCAGTTTTGATACACTCTTTTTGTAGAATCTGCAAGTGGATATTTGGATAGCTGTGAAGATTTCGTTGGAAACGGGAATATCTTCCTATAAAATCTAGACAGAAGCATTTTCAGAAACTGCTCTGTGATGTCTGCATTCAAGTCACAGAGTTGAACATTGCCTTTCATAGAGCAGGTTTGAAACGCTCTTTTTGTAGTATATGGAAGTGGATGTTTCGGACGGTTGGAGGCCCATGGTGATAAAGGGAATATCTTCCCCTACAAGCTAGAAAGAAGCATTCTGTGAAACTTGTTTGTGATATGTGCACTCAACTAACAGAGTTGAACCTTTCTTTTTACAGAGCAGTTTTGAAACACTCTTTCTGTAGAATCTGCGAGGGGATATTTGGATAGATTTCAGGATTTCGTTGGAAACGGGAATATCTTCATATAAAATCTCGACAGAAGCATTCTCCGAAACCTCTTTGTGATATATGCATTGAAGTTACAGAGTTGAATATTCCCTTTCACATAGCAGGTTTGAAACACTCTTTTTGTAGTATCTGGAAGTGGACATTGGGAGCGCTTTGACGCCAATGGTGAAAAAGGAAATATCTTCCCATAAAAACTACACAGAAGCAATCTCAGAATCTTCTTTGGGATATATGCACGCAGTTAACAGAGTTGAACCTTTCTATTGACAGAGCAGTTTTGAAACAGTCTTTCTGTGGAATCTGCAAGTGGATATTTGGATAGCTTGGAGGATTTCGTTGGAAACGGGATTACGTATAAAAAGTAGACAGCAGCATCCTCAGAAACTTCTTTGTGATGTGTGCATTCAAGTCACAGAGTTGAACATTCCCCTTCGTACAGCAGTTTTGAAACACTCTTTGTGTATTATCTGGGAGTGAACATTAGGACAGCTTTCAGGTCTATGGTGAGAAAGGAAATATCTTCAAATAAAAACTAGACAGAAGCATTCTCATAAACTTGTTTGTGATGTGTGAACTCAGCTAACAGACGTGGATCTTTCTTTTGATACAGCAGTTTTGAAAAACACTTTTTGTTGAATCTGCAAGTGGACATTTGGATAGATATGAAGATTTCGTTGGAAACGGGAATATCTTCATATCAAATCTAGACAGAAGCATTCTCAGAAACGTCTTTGTGATGTTTGCATTCAACTCATAGAGTTGAACATTCCGTTTCCAAGAGCAGCTTTGAGGCACTCTTTTTGTAGTATGTGCAAGTGGATATTTGGAGCGCTCTGAGGCCTACGGTGAAAAAGCAAATATCTTCCCATAACCACTAGACAGAAACATTCTCAGAAACTCCTTTATGACGTATGTACTCAACTAACAGAGAAGAACCTTCCTTTTGACAGAGCAGGTTTGATACACTCTTTTTGTAGAATCTGCAAGTGGATATTTGGATAGCTGTGAAGATTTCGTTGGAAACGGGAATATCTTCCTATAAAATCCAGACAGAAGCATTCTCAGAAACTGCTCTGTGATGTCTGCATTCAAGTCACAGAGTTGAACATTGCCTTTCCTAGAGCAGGTTTGAAACGATCTTTTTGTAGTATATGGAAGTGGACGTTTCGGACGGTTTGAGGCCCATGGTGATAAAGGGAATATCTTCCCCTACAAGCTAGAAAGAAGCATTCTGTGAAACTTGTTTGTGATGTGTGTACTCAACTAACAGAGTTGAACCTTTCTTTTTACAGAGCAGTTTGGAAACACTCTTTTTGTAGAATCTGCGAGGGGATATTTGGATAGATTTCAGGATTTCGTTGGAAACGGGAATATCTTCATATAAAATCTCGACAGAAGCATTCTCAGAAACTTCTTTGTGATATCTGCATTCAAGTCACAGAGTTGAATATTCCCTTTCACAGAGTAGGTTTGAAACACTCTTTTTGTAGTATCTGGAAGTGGACATTTGGAGCGCCTTGACGCCTACGGTGAAAAGGGAAATATCTTCCCATAAAAACTAGACAGAAGCAATCTCAGGAATCTTCTTTGGGATATATGCACGCAGCTAACAGAGTTGAACCTTTCTATTGACAGAGCAGTTTTGAAACAGTCTTTCTGTGGAATCTGCAAGTGGATATTTGGATAGCTTGGAGGATTTCGTTGGAAACGGGATTAAGTATAAAAAGTAGACAGCAGCATCCTCAGAAACTTCTTTGTGCGGTGTGCATTCAAGTCACAGAGTTGAACATTCCCTTTCGTACAGCAGTTTTGAAACACTCTTTCTGTAGTATCTGGAAGTGAACATTAGGACAGCTTTCAGGTCTATGGTGAGAAAGGAAATATCTTCAAATAAAAACTAGACAGAAGCATTCTCATAAACTTGTTTGTGATGTGTGAACTCAGCTAACAGAGGTGGATCTTTCTTTTGATAGAGCAGTTCTGAAAAACACTTTTTGTTGATTATGCAAGTGGACATTTGGATAGATTTGAAGATTTCGTTGGAAACGGGAATATCTTCATATCAAATGTAGACAGAAGCATTCTCAGAAACGTCTTTGTGATGTTTGCATTCAACTCACAGAGTTGAACATTCCGTTTCAGAGAGCAGCTTTGAAGCACTCTTTTTGTAGTATGTGCAAGTGGATATTTGGAGCGCTCTGAGGCCTACGGTGAAAAAGCAAATATCTTCCCATAACCACTAGACAGAAACATTCTCAGAAACTCCTTTATGACGTATGCACTCACCTAACAGAGAAGAACCTTCCTTTTGACAGAGCAGTTTTGATACACTCTTTTTGTAGAATCTGCAAGTGGATATTTGGATAGCTGTGAAGATTTCGTTGGAAACGAGAATATCTTCCTATAAAATCTAGACAGAAGCATTCTCAGAAACTGCTCTGTGATGTCTGCATTCAAGTCACAGAGTTGAACATTGCTTTTCATAGAGCAGGTTTGAAACGCTCTTTTTGTAGTATATGGAAGTAGACGTTTCGGACGGTTTGAGGCCCATGGTGATAAAGGGAATATCTTCCCCTACAAGCTAGAAAGAAGCATTCTGTGAAACTTGTTTGTGATGTGTGTACTCAACTAACAGAGTTGAACCTTTCTTTTTACAGAGCAGTTTTGAAACACTCTTTTTGTAGAATCTGCGAGGGGATATTTTGATACATTTCAGCATTTCGTTGGAAACGGGAATATCTTCATATAAAATCTCGACAGAAGCATTCTCAGAAACTTCCTTGTGATATGTGCATTCAAGTCACAGAGTTGAATATTCCCTTTCACAGAGTAGGTTTGAAACACTCTTTTTGTAGTATCTGGAAGTGGTCATTTGGAGCGCCTTGACGCCTACGGTGAAAAGGGAAATATCTTCCCATAAAAACTAGACAGAAGCAATCTCAGAATCTTCTTTGTGATATATGCACGCAGCTAACAGAGTTGAACCTTTCTATTGACTGAGCAGATTTGAAACAGTCTTTCTGTGGAATCTGCAAGTGGATATTTGGATAGATTGGAGGATTTCGTTGGAAACGGAATTACGTATAAAAAGTAGACAGCAGCATCCTCAGAAACTTCTTTGTGATGTGTGCATTCAAGTCACAGAGCTGAACATTCCCTTTCGTACAGCAGTTTTGAAACACTCTTTCTGTAGTATCTGGAAGTGAACATTAGGACAGCTTTCAGGTCTATGGTGAGAAAGGAAATATCTTCAAATAAAAACTAGACAGAAACATTCTCATAAACTTGTTTGTGATGTGTGAACTGAGCTAACAGAGGTGGATCTTTCTTTTGATAGAGCAGTTCGGAAAAACACTTTTTGTTGAATCTGCAAGTGGACATTTGGATAGATTTGAAGATTTCGTTGGAAACGGGAATATCTTCATATCAAATCTAGACAGAAGCATTCTCAGAAACGTCTTTGTGATGTTTGCATTCAACTCATAGAGTTGAACATTCCCTTTCAGAGAGCAGCTTTGAAGCACTCTTTTTGTAGCATGTGCAAGTGGACATTTGGAGCGCTCTGAGGCCTACGGTGAAAAAGCAAATATCTTCCCATAACCACTAGACAGAAACATTCTCAGAAACTCCTTTATGAAGTATGCACTCACCTAACAGAGAAGAACCTTCCTTTTGACAGAGCAGTTTTGATAAACTCTTTTTGTAGAATCTGCAAGTGGATATTTGGATAGCTGTGAAGATTTCGTTGGAAACGGGAATATCTTCCTATAAAATCTAGACAGAAGCATTCTCAGAAACTGCTCTGCGATGTCTGCATTCAAGTCACAGAGTTGAACATTGCTTTTCATAGAGCAGGTTTGAAGCGCTCTTTTTGTAGTATATGGAAGTAGACGTTTCGGACGGTTTGAGGCCCATGGTGATAAAGGGAATATCTTCCCCTACAAGCTAGAAAGAAGCATTCTGAGAAACTTGTTTGTGATGTGTGTACTCAACTAAGAGAAGTGAACCTTTCTTTTTACAGAGCAGTTTTGAAACACTCTTTTTCTAGAATCTGCGAGGGGATATTTGGATAGATTTCAGAATTTCGTTGTAAACGGGAATATCTTCATATAAAATCTCGACAGAAGCATTCTCAGGAAACTTCTTTGTGATATCTGCATTCAAGTCACAGAGTTGAATATTCCCTTTCACAGAGTAGGTTTGAAACACTCTTTTTGTAGTATCTGGAAGTGGACATTTGGAGCACCTTGACACCTACGGTGAAAAGGGAAATATCTTCCCATAAAAACTAGACAGAAGCAATCTCAGAATCTTCTTTGGGATATATGCACGCAGCTAACAGAGTTGAACCTTTCTATTGACAGAGCAGTTTTGAAACACTCTTTCTGTGGAATCTGCAAGTGGATATTTGGATAGCTTGGAGGATTTCGTTGGAAACGGGATTACGTATAAAAAGTAGACAGCAGCATCCTCAGAAACTTCTTTGTGATGTGTGCATTCAAGTCACAGAGTTGAACATTCCCTTTCGTACAGCAGTTTTGAAACACTCTTTCTGTAGTATCTGGAAGTGAACATTAGGACAGCTTTCAGGTCGATGGTGAGAAAGGAAATATCTTCAAATAAAAACTAGATAGAAGCATTCTCATAAACTTGTTTGTGATGTGTGAACGCAGCTAACACACGTGGATCTTTCTTTTGATAGAGCAGTTCTGAAAAACACTTTTTGTTGAATCTGCAAGTGGACATTTGGATAGATTTGAAGATTTCGTTGGAAACGGGAATATCTTCATATCAAATCTAGACAGAAAGCATTCTCAGAAACGTCTTTGCGATGTTTGCATTCAACTCATAGAGTTGAACATTCCGTTTCAGAGAGCAGCTTTGAGGCACTCTTTTTGTAGTATGTGCAAGTGGATATTTGGAGCGCTCTGAGGCCTACGGTGAAAAAGCAAATATCTTCCCATAACCACTAGACAGAAACATTCTCAGAAACTCCTTTATGACGTATGCACTCACCTAACAGAGAAGAACCTTCCTTTTGACAGAGCAGTTTTGATACACTCTTTTTGTAGAATCTGCAAGTGGATATTTGGATAGCTGTGAAGATTTCGTTGGAAACGGAAATATCTTCCTATAAAATCTAGACAGAAAGCATTCTCAGAAACTGCTCTGTGATGTCTGCATTCAAGTCACAGAGTTGAACATTGCCTTTCATAGAGCAGGTTTGAAACGCTCTTTTTGTAGTATATGGAAGTAGACGTTTCGGACGGTTTGAGGCCCATGGTGATAAAGGGAATATCTTCCCCTACAAGCTAGAAAGAAGCATTCTGTGAAACTTGTTTGTGATGTGTGTACTCAAGTAACAGAGTTCAACCTTTCTTTTTACAGAGCAGTTTTGAAACACTCTTTTTGTAGAATCTGCGAGGGGATATTTGGATAGATTTCAGGATTTCGTTGGAAACGGGAATATCTTCATATAAAATCTCGACAGAAGCATTCTCAGAAACTTCTTTGTGATATCTGCATTCAAGTCACAGAGTTGAATATTCCCTTTCACAGAGTAGGTTTGAAACACTCTTTTTGTAGTGTCTGGAAGTGGACATTTGGAGCACATTGACAACTACGGTGAAAAGGGAAATATCTTCCCATAAAAACTAGACAGAAGCAATCTCAGAATCTTCTTTGGGATATATGCACGCAGCTAAGAGAGTTGAACCTTTCTATTGACAGAGCAGTTTTGTAACAGTCTTTCTGTGGAATCTGCAAGTGGATATTTGGATAGCTTGGAGGATTTCGTTGGAAACGGGATTACCTATAAAAAGTAGACAGCAGCATCCTCAGAAACTTCTTTGTGATGTGTGCATTCAAGTCACAGAGTTGAACATTCCCTTTCGTACAGCAGTTTTGAAAAACTCTTTCTGTAGTGTCTGGAAGTGAACATTAGGACAGCATTCAGGTCTATGGTGAGAAAGGAAATATCTTCAAATAAAAACTACACAGAAGCATTCTCATAAACTTGTTTGTGATGTGTGAACTCAGCTAAGAGACGTGGATCTTTCTTTTGATAGAGCAGTTCTGAAAAACACTTTTTGTTGAATCTGCAAGTGGACATTTGGATAGATTTGAAGATTTCTTTGGAAATGGGAATATCTTCATATCAAATCTAGAGAGAAGCATTCTCAGAAACGTCTTTGTCATGTTTGCATTCAACTCATAGAGTTGAACATTCCCTTTCAGAGAGCAGCTTTGAAACACTCTTTTTGTAGTATGTGCAAGTGGATATTTGGAGCGCTCTGAGGCCTACGGTGAAAAAGAAAATATCTTCCCATAACCACTAGACAGAAACTTTCTCAGAAACTCCTTTATGACGTATGTACTCAACTAACAGAGAAGAACCTTCCTTTTGAGAGAGCAGTTTTGATACACTCTTTTTGTAGAAACTGCAAGTGGATATTTGGATAGCTGTGAAGATTTCGTTGGAAACGGGAATATCTTCCTATAAAATCTAGACAGAAGCATTCTCAGAAACTGCTCTGTGATGTCTGCATTCAAGTCACAGAGTTGAACATTGCCTTTCATAGAGCAGGTTTGAAATGCTCTTTTCGTAGTATATGGAAGTGGACTTTTCGGACGGTTTGAGGCCCATGGTGATAAAGGGAATATCTTCCCCTACAAGCTAGAAAGAAGCATTCTGTGAAACTTTTTTGTGATGTGTGTACTCAACTAACAGAGTTGAACCTTTCTTTTTACAGAGCAGTTTTGAAACACTCTTTTTGTAGAATCTGCGAGGGGATATTTGGATAGATTTCAGGATTTCGTTCGAAACGGGAATATCTTCATATAAAATCTCGACAGAAGCATTCTCAGAAGCTTCTTTGTGATATGTGCATTCAAGTCACAGAGTTGAATATTCCCGTTCACAGAGTAGGTTTGAAACACTCTTTTTGTAGTATCTGGAAGTGGACATTTGGAGCGCCCTGACGCCTACGGTGAAAAGGAAAATATCTTCTCATAAAAAGTAGACAGATAAGCAATCTCAGAATCTTCTTTGGGATATATGCACGCAGCTAACAGAGTTGAACCTTTCTATTGACAGAGCAGTTTTGAAACAGTCTTTCTGTGGAATCTGCAAGTGGATATTTGGATAGCTTGGAGGATTTCGTTGGAAACGGGATTACGTATAAAAAGTAGACAGCAGCATCCTGAGAAACTTCCTTGTGATGTGTGCATTCAAGTCACAGAGTTGAACATTCCCTTTCGTACAGCAGTTTTGAAACACTCTTTCTGTAGTATCTGGAAGTGAACATTAGGACAGCGTTTCAGGTCTATGGTGAGAAAGGAAATATCTTCAAATAAAAACTAGACAGAAGCATTCTCATAAACTTGTTCGTGATGTGTGAACTCAGCTAAGAGCCGTGGATCTTTCTTTTGATAGAGCAGTTCTGAAAAACACTTTTTGTTGAATCTGCAAGTGGACATTTGGATAGATTTGAAGATTTCTTTGGAATCGGGAATATCTTCATATCAAATCTAGACAGAAGCATTCTCAGAAACGTCTTTGTGATGTTTGCATTCAACTCATAGAGTTAAACATTCCGTTTCAGAGAGCAGCTTTGAAGCACTCTTTTTGTAGTATGTGCAAGTGGATATTTGGAGCGCTCTGAGGCCTACGGTGAAAAAGCAAATATCTTCCCATAACCACTAGACAGAAACATTCTCAGAAACTCCTTTATGACGTATGCACTCACCTAACAGAGAAGAACCTTCCTTTTGACAGAGCAGTTTTGATACACTCTTTTTGTAGAATCTGCAAGTGGATATTTGGATACCTGTGAAGATTTCGTTGGAAACGGGAATAACTTCCTATAAAATCTAGACAGAAGCATTCTCAGAAACTGCTCTGTGATGTCTGCATTCAAGTCACAGAGTTGAACATTGCCTTTCATAGAGCAGGTTTGAAACGCTCTTTTTGTAGTATATGGAAGTGGATGTTTCGGACGGTTGGAGCCCCATGGTGATAAAGGGAATATCTTCCCCTACAAGCTAGAAAGAAGCATTCTGTGAAACTTGTTTGTGATGTGTGTACTCAACTAACAGAGTTGAACCTTTCTTTTCACAGAGCAGTTTTGAAACACTCTTTTTGTAGAATCTGCGAGGGGATATTTGGATAGATTTCAGGATTTCGTTGGAAACGGGAATATCTTCATATAAAATCTCGACAGAAGCATTCTCAGAAACTTCATTGTGATATGCGCATTCTAGTCACAGAGTTGAATATTCCCTTTCACAGAGTAGGTTTGAAACACTCTTTTTGTAGTATCTGGAAGTGGACATTTGGAGCGCCTTGACGCCTACGGTGAAAAGGGAAATATCTTCCCATAAAAAGTAGACAGAAGCAATCTCAGAATCTTCTTTGGGATATATGCACGCAGCTAACAGAGTTGAACCTTTCTATTGACAGAGCAGTTTTGAAACAGTCTTTCTGTGGAATCTGCAAGTGGATATTTGGATAGCTTGGAGGATTTCGTTGGAAACGGGAGTACGTATAAAAAGTAGACAGCAGCATCCTCAGAAACTTCTTTGTGAGGTGTGCATTCAAGTCACAGAGTTGAACATTCCCTTTCGTGCAGCAGTTTTGAAACACTCTTTCTGTAGTATCTGGAAGTGAACATTAGGACAGCTTTCAGGTCTATGGTGAGAAAGGAAATATCTTCAAATAAAAACTAGACAGAAGCATTCTCATAAACTTGTTTGTGATGTCTGAACTCAGCTAACAGAGGTGGATCTTTCTTTTGATAGAGCAGTTCTGAAAAACACTTTCTGTTGAATCTGCAAGTGGACATTTGGATAGATTTGAAGATTTCGTTGGAAACGGGAAGATCTTCATATCAAATCTAGACAGAAGCATTCTCAGAAACGTCTTTGTGATGTTTGCATTCAAATCATAGAGTTGAACATTCCCTTTCAGAGAGCAGCTTTGAAGCATTCTTTTTGTAGTATGTGCAAGGGGATATATGGAGCGCTCTGAGGCCTAAGGTGAAAAAGCAAATATCTTCCCATAACCACTAGACAGAAACATTCTCAGAAACTCCTTTATGACGTATGCACTCACCTAACAGAGAAGAACCTTCCTTTTGACAGAGCACTTTTGATACACTCTTTTTGTAGAATCTGAAAGTGGATATTTGGATAGCTGTGAAGATTTCGTTGGAAACGGGAATATCTTCCTATAAATTCTAGACAGAAGCATTCTCAGAAACTGCTCTGTGATGTCTGCATTCAAGTCACAGAGTTGAACATTGCCTTTCCTAGAGCAGGTTTGAAACGCTCTTTTTGTAGTATATGGAAGTGGACGTTTCGGACGGTTTGAGGCCCACGGTGATAAAGGGAATATCTTCCCCTACAAGCTAGAAAGAAGCATTCTGTGAAACTTGTTTGTGATGTGTGTACTCAAGTAACAGAGTTGAACCTTTCTTTTTACAGAGCAGTTTTGAAACACTCTTTCTGTAGAATCTGCGAGGGGATATTTGGATACATTTCAGGATTTCGTTGGAAACGGGAATATCTTCATAGAAAATCTCGACAGAAGCATTCTCAGAAACTTCTTTGTGATATGTGCATTAAAGTCACAGAGTTGAATATTCCCTTTCACAGAGTAGGTTTGAAACACTCTTTTTGTAGTATCTGGAAGTGGACATTTGGAGCGCCTTGACGCCCTACGGTGAAAAGGGAAATATCTTCCCATAAAAACTAGACAGAAGCAATCTCAGAATCTTCTTTGGGATATATGCACGCAGCTAACAGAGTTGAACCTTTCTATTGACAGAGCAGTTTTGAAACAGTCTTTCTGTGGAATCTGCAAGTGGATATTTGGATAGCTTGGAGGATTTCGTTGGAAACGGGATTAAGTATAAAAAGTAGACAGCAGCATCCTCAGAAACTTCTTTGTGATGTGTGCATTCAAGTCACAGAGTTGAGCATTCCCTTTCGTACAGCAGTTTTCAAACACTCTTTCTGTAGTAACTGGAAGTGAACATTAGGACAGCTTTCAGGTCTATGGTGAGAAAGGAAATATCTTCAAATAAAAACTAGACAGAAGCATTCTGATAAACTTGTTTGTGAAGTGTGAACTCAGCTAACAGAGGTGGATCTTTCTTTGGTACAGCAGTTTTGAAAAACACTTTGTTGAATCTGCAAGGGGACATTTGGATAGATTTGAAGATTACGTTGGAAACGGGAATATCTTCATATCAAATCTAGACAGAAGCATTCTCGGAAACGTCTTTGTGATGTTTGCATTCAACTCATAGAGTTGAACATTCCGTTTCAGAGAGCAGCTTTGAGGCACTCATTTTGTAGTATGTGCAAGTGGACATTTGGAGCGCTCTGAGGCCTTCGGTGAAAAAGCAAATATCTTCCCATAACCACTAGACAGAAACATTCTCACAAACTCCTTTATGACGTATGTACTCAACTAACAGAGAAGAACCTTCCTTTTGACAGAGCAGTTTTGATACACTCTTTTTGTAGAATCTGCAAGTGGATATTTGGATAGCTGTGAAGATTTCGTTGGAAACGGGAATATCTTCCTATAAAATCTAGACAGAAGCATTCTCAGAAACTGCTATGTGATGTCTGCATTCAAGTCACAGAGTTGAACATTGCCTTTCCTAGAGCAGGTTTGAAACGCTCTTTTTGTAGTATATGGAAGTGGAAGTTTCGGACGGTTTGAGGCCCATGGTGATAAAGGGAATATCTTCCCCTACAAGCTAGAAAGAAGCATTCTGTGAAACTTGTTTGTGATGTGTGTACTCAACTAATAGAGTTGAACCTTTCTTTTTACAGAGCAGTTTTGAAACACTCTTTTTGTAGAATCTGCGAGGGGATATTTGGATAGATTTCAGGATTTCGTTGGAAACGGGAATATCTTCATATAAAATCTCGACAGAAGCATTCTCAGAAGCTTCTTTGTGATATGTGCATTCAAGTCACAGAGTTCAATATTCCCTTTCACAGAGTAGGTTTGAAACACTCTTTTTGTAGTATCTGGAAGTGGACATTTGGAGAGCCTTGACGCCTACGGTGAAAAGGGAAATATCTTCTCATAAAAAGTAGACAGAAGCAATCTCAGAATCTTCTTTGGGATATATGCACGCAGCTAACAGAGTTGAACCTTTCTATTGACAGAGCAGTTTTGAAACAGTCTTTCTGTGGAATCTGCAAGTGGATATTTGGATAGCTTGGAGGATTTCGTTGGAAACGGGATTACGTAGAAAAAGTAGACAGCAGCATCCTCAGAAACTTCTTTGTGATGTGTGCATTCAAGTCACAGAGTTGAACATTCCCTTTCGTACAGCAGTTTTGAAACACTCTTTCTGTAGTATCTGGAAGTGATCATTAGGACAGCTTTCAGGTCTATGGTGAGAAAGGAAATATCTTCAAATAAAAACTAGACAGAAGCATTCTCATAAACTTGTTTGTGATGTGTGAACTCAGCTAACAGAGGTGGATCTTTCTTTTGATAGAGAAGTTCTGAAAAACACTTTTTGTTGAATCTGCAAGTGGACATTTGGATAGATTTGAAGATTTCGTTGGAAACGGGAATATCTTCATATCAAATCTAGACAGAAGCATTCTCAGAAACGTCTTTGTGATGTTTGCATTCAACTCATAGAGTTGAACATTCCGTTTCAGAGAGCAGCTTTGAGGCACTCTTTTTGTAGTATGTGCAAGTGGATATTTGGAGCGCTCTGAGGCCTACGGTGAAAAAGCAAATATCTTCCCATAACCACTAGACAGAAACATTCTCAGAAACTCCTTTATGACGTATGCACTCACCTAACAGAGAAGAACTTTCCTTTTGACAGAGCAGTTTTGATACACTCTTTTTGTAGAATCTGCAAGTGGATATTTGGATAGCTGTGAAGATTTCGTTGGAAACGGGAATATCTTCCTATAAAATCTAGACAGAAGCATTCTCAGAAACTGCTCTGTGATGTCTGCATTCAAGTCACAGAGTTGAACATTGCCTTTCATAGAGCAGGTTTGAAACGCTCTTTTTGTAGTATATAAAAGTGGACGTTTCGGACGGTTTGAGGCCCATGGTCATAAAGGGAATATCTTACCCTACAAGCTAGAAAGAAGCATTCTGTGAAACTTGTTTGTGATGTGTGTACTCAACTAACAGCAGTTGAACCTTTCTTTTCACAGAGCAGTTTTGAAACACTCTTTTTGTAGAATCTGCGAGGGGAAATTTGGATAGATTTCAGGATTTCGTTGGAAACGGGAATATCTTCATACAAAATCTCGACAGAAGCATTCTCAGAAACTTCCTTGTGATATGTGCATTCGAGTCACAGAGTTGAATATTCCCTTTCACAGAGTAGGTTTGAAACACTCTTTTTGTAGTATCTGGAAGTGGACATTTGGAGCGCCTGGACGCCTACGGTGAAAAGGGAAATATCTTCCCATAAAAACTAGACAGAAGCAATCTCAGAATCTTCTTTGGGATTTATGCACGCCGCTAACAGAGATGAACCTTTCTATTGACAGAGCAGTTTTGAAACAGTCTTTCTGTGGAATCTGCAAGTGGATATTTGGATAGCTTGGAGGATTTCGTTGGAAACGGGATTACGTATAAAAAGTAGACAGCAGCATCCTCAGAAACTTCTTTGTGATGTGTGCATTCAAGTCACAGAGTTGAACATTCCCTTTCGTACAGCAGTTTTGAAACACTCTTTCTGTAGTATCTGGAAGTGAACATTAGGACAGCTTTCAGCTCTATGGTGAGAAAGGAAATATCTTCAAATAAAAACTAAACAGAAGCATTCTCATAAACTTGTTTGTGATGTGTGAACTCAGCTAACACACGTGGATCTTTCTTTTGATAGAGCAGTTCTGAAAAACACTTTTTGTTGAATCTGCAAGTGGACATTTGGATAGATTTGAAGATGTCGTTGGAAACGGGAATATCTTCATATCAAATCTAGACGGAAGCATTCTCAGAAACGTCTTTGTGATGTTTGCATTCAACTCATAGAGTTGAACATTCCGTTTCAGAGAGCAGCTTTGAAGCACTCTTTTTGTAGTATGTGCAAGCGGATATTTGGAGC
The DNA here is from genome assembly GCF_000001405.40 of Homo sapiens. Classification (NCBI taxonomy): domain Eukaryota; kingdom Metazoa; phylum Chordata; class Mammalia; order Primates; family Hominidae; genus Homo; species Homo sapiens. Next base: position 17,365,447 of record NC_000014.9, read on the forward strand.
GCTCTGAGGCCTACGGTGAAAAAGCAAATATCTTCCCATAACCACTAGACAGAAACATTCTCAGAAACTCCTTTATGACGTATGCACTCACCTAACAGAGAAGAACCTTCCTTTTGACAGAGCAGTTTTGAAACACTCTTTTTGTAGAATCTGCAAGTGGATATTTGGATACCTGTGAAGATTTCGTTGGAAACGGGAATATCTTCCTATAAAATCTAGACAGAAGCATTCTCAGAAACTGCTCTGTGATGACTGCATTCAAGTCACAGAGTTGAACATTGCCTTTCCTAGAGCAGGTTTGAAACGCTCTTTTTGTAGTATATGGAAGTGGACGTTTCGGACGGTTTGAGGCCCATGGTGATAAAGGGAATATCTTCCCCTACAAGCTAGAAAGAAGCATTCTGTGAAACTTGTTTGTGATGTGTGTACTCAACTAACAGAGTTGAACCTATCTTTTTACAGAGCAGTTTTGAAACACTCTTTTTGTAGAATCTGCGAGGGGATATTTGGATAGATTTCAGGATTTCGTTGGAAACGGGAATATCTTCATATAAAATCTCGACAGAAGCATTCTCAGAAACTTCTTTGTGATATCTGCATTCAAGTCACAGAGTTGAATATTCCCTTTCACAGAGTAGGTTTGAAACACTCTTTTTGTAGTATCTGGAAGTGGACATTTGGAGCGCCTTGACCGCTACGGTGAAAAGGGAAATATCTTCCCATAAAAACTAGACAGAAGCAATCTCAGAATCTTCTTTGGGATATATGCACGCAGCTAACAGAGTTGAACCTTTCTATTGACAGAGCAGTTTTGAAACAGTCTTTCTGTGGAATCTGCAAGTGGATATTTGGATAGTTGGAGGATTTCATTGGAAACGGGATTACGTATAAAAAGTAGACAGCAGCATCCTCAGAAACTTCTTTGTGATGTGTGCATTCAAGTCACAGAGTTGAACATTCCCTTTCGTACAGCAGTTTTGAAACACTCTTTCTGTAGTATCTGGAAGTGAACATTAGGACAGCTTTCAGCTCTATGGTGAGAAAGGAAATATCTTCAAATATAAACTAGACAGAAGCATTTTCATAAACTTGTTTGTGATGTGTGAACTCAGCTAACAGAGGTGGATCATTCTTTTGATAGAGCATCAGCTAACAGACGTGGATCTTTCTTTTGATACAGCAGTTTTGAAAAACACTTTTTGTTGAATCTGCAAGTGGACATTTGGATAGATATGAAGATTTCGTTGGAAACGGGAATATCTTCATATCAAATCTAGACAGAAGCATTCTCAGAAACGTCTTTGTGATGTTTGCATTCAACTCATAGAGTTGAACATTCCCTTCCAGAGAGTAGCTTTGAAGCACTCTTTTTGTAGCATGTGCAAGTGGACATTTGGAGCGCTCTGAGGCCTACGGGGAAAAAGCAAATATCTTCCCATAACCACTAGACAGAAACATTCTCAGAAACTCCTTTATGACGTATGCACTCACCTAACAGAAAAGAACCTTCCTTTTGACAGAGCAGTTTTGATACACTCTTTTTGTAGAATCTGCAAGTGGATATTTGGATAGCTGCGAAGATTTCGTTGGAAACGGGAATATCTTCCTATAAAATCTAGACAGAAGCATTCTCAGAAACTGCTCTGTGATGTCTGCATTCAAGTCACAGAGTTGAACATTGCCTTTCATAGAGCAGGTTTGAAACGCTCTTTTTGTAGTATATGGAAGTGGATGTTTCGGACGGTTGGAGGCCCATGGTGATAAAGGGAATATCTTTCCCTACAAGCTAGAAAGAAGCATTCTGTGAAACTTGTTTGTGATGTGTGTACTCAACTAACAGAGTTGAACCTTTCTTTTTACAGAGCAGTTTTGAAACACTCTTTTTGTAGAATCTGCGAGGGGATATTTGGATAGATTTCAGGATTTCGTTGGAAACGGGAATATCTTCATATAAAATCTCGACGGAAGCATTCTCAGAAACTTCTTTGTGATATGTGCATTCAAGTCACAGAGTTGAATATTCCCTTTCACAGAGTAGGTTTGAAACACTCTTTTTGTAGTATCTGGAAGTGGACATTTGGAGCGCCTTGACACCTATGGTGAAAAGGGAAATATCTTCCCATAAAAACTAGACAGAAGCAATCTCAGAATCTTCTTTGGGATATATGCACGCAGCTAACAGAGTTGAACCTTTCTATTGACAGAGCAGTTTAGAAACAGTCCTTCTGTGGAATCTGCAAGTGGATATTTGGATAGCTTGGAGGATTTCTTTGGAAACGGGATTACGTATAAAAAGTAGACAGCAGCATCCTCAGAAACTTCTTTGTGATGTGTGCATTCAAGTCACAGAGTTGAACATTCCCTTTCGTACAGCAGTATTGAAACACTCTTTCTGTAGTATCTAGAAGTGAACATTAGGACAGCTTTCAGGTCTATGGTGAGAAAGGAAATATCTTCAAATAAAAACTAGACAGAAGCATTCTCATAAACTTGTTTGTGATGTGTGAACTCAGCTAACAGAGGTGGATCTTTCTTTTGATAGAGCAGTTCTGAAAAACACTTTTTGTTGAGTCTGCAAGTGGACATTTGGATAGATTTGAAGATTTCGTTGGAAACGGGAATATCTTCATATCAAATCTAGACAGAAGCATTCTCAGAAACGTCTTTGTGATGTTTGCATTCAACTCATAGAGTTGAACATTCCCTTTCAGAGAGCAGCTTTGAAGCACTCTTTTTGTAGTATGTGCAAGTGGATATTAGGAGCGCTCTGAGGCCTAAGGTGAAAAAGCAAATATCTTCCCATAACCACTAGACAGAAACATTCTCAGAAACTCCTTTATGACGTATGCACTCACCTAACAGAGAAGAACCTTCCTTTTGACAGAGCAGTTTTGATACACTCTTTTTGTAGAATCTGCAAGTGGATATTTGGATAGCTGTGAAGATTTCGTTGGAAAGGGGAATATCTTCCTATAAAATCTAGACAGAAGCATTCTCAGAAACTGCTCTGTGATGTCTGCATTCAAGTCACAGAGTTTAACATTGCCTTTCATAGAGCAGGTTTGAAACGCTCTTTTTGTAGTATATGGAAGTGGACTTTTCGGACGGTTTGAGGCCCATGGTGATAAAGGGAATATCTTCCCCTACAAGCTAGAAAGAAGCATTCTGTGAAACTTGTTTGTGATGTGTGTACTCATCTAACAGAGTTGAACCTTTCTTTTTACAGAGCAGTTTTGAAACACTCTTTTTGTAGAATCTGCGAGGGGATATTTGGATACATTTCAGCATTTCGTTGGAAACGGGAATATCTTCATATAAAATCTCGACAGAAGCATTCTCAGAAACTTCTTTGTGATATGTGCATTCAAGTCACAGAGTTGAATATTCCCTTTCACAGAGTAGGTTTGAAACACTCTTTTTGTAGTATCTGGAAGTGGACATTTGGAGCGCTTTGACACCTACGGTGAAAAGGGAAATATCTTCCCATAAAAACTAGACAGAAGCAATCTCAGAATCTTCTTTGGGATATATGCACGCAGCCAACAGAGTTGAACCTTTCTATTGACAGAGCAGTTTTGAAACAGTCTTTCTGTGGAATCTGCAAGTGGATATTTGGATAGCTTGGAGGATTTCGTTGGAAACGGGATTACGTATAAAAAGTAGACAGCAGCATCCTCAGAAACTTCTTTGTGATGTGTGCATTCAAGTCACAGAGTTGAACATTCCCTTTCGTACAGCAGTTTTGAAACACTCTTTCTGTAGCATCTGGAAGTGAACATTAGGACAGCTTTCAGCTCTATGGTGAGAAAGGAAATATCTTCAAATAAAAACTAGACAGAAGCACTCTCATAAACTTGTTTGTGATGTGTGAACTCAGCTAACAGAGGTGGATCTTTCTTTTGATAGAGCAGTTCTGAAAAACACTTTTTGTTGAATCTGCAAGTGGACATTTGGATAGATTTGAAGATTTCGTTGGAAACGGGAATATCTTCATATCAAATCTAGACAGAAGCATTCTCAGAAACGTCTTTGTGATGTTTGCATTCAACTCATAGAGTTGAACATTCCCTTTCAGAGAGCAGCTTTGAAGCACTCTTTTTGTAGCATGTGCAAGTGGACATTTGGAGCGCCCTGAGGCCTACGGGGAAAAAAGCAAATATCTTCCCATAACCACTAGACAGAAACATTCTCAGAAAATTCTTTATGACGTATGTACTCAACTAGCAGAGAAGAACTTTCCTTTTGACAGAGCAGTTTTGATACACTCTTTTTGTAGAATCTGCAAGTGGATATTTGGATAGCTGTGAAGATTTCGCTGGAAACGGGAATATCTTCCTATAAAACCTAGACAGAAGCATTCTCAGAAACAGCTCTGTGATGTCTGCATTCAAGTCACAGAGTTGAACATTGCCTTTCATAGAGCAGGTTTGAAACGCTCTTTTTGTAGTATATGGAAGTGGACGTTTCGGACGGTTTGAGACCCATGGTGATAAAGGGAATATATTCTCCTACAAGCTAGAAAGAAGCATTCTGTGAAACTTGTTTGTGATGTATGTACTCAACTAACAGAGTTGAACCTTTCTTTTTACAGAGCAGTTTTGAAACACTCTTTTTGTAGAATCTGCGAGGGGATATTTGGATACATTTCAGGATTTCGTTGGAAACGGGAATATCTTCATAGAAAATCTCGACAGAAGCATTCTCAGAAACTTCCTTGTGATATGTGCATTCAAGTCACAGAGTTGAATATTCCCTTTCACAGAGTAGGTTTGAATCACTCTTTTTGTAGTATCTGGAAGTGGACATTTGGAGCGCCTTGACACCTAAGGTGAAAAGGGAAATATCTTCCCATAAAAACTAGACAGAAGCAATCTCAGAATCTTCTTTGGGATATATGCACGCAGCTAACAGAGTTGAACCTTTCTATTGACTGAGCAGATTTGAAACAGTCTTTCTGTGGAATCTGCAAGTGGATATTTGGATAGATTGGAGGATATCGTTGGAAACGGGATTACGTATAAAAAGTAGACAGCACCATCCTCAGAAACTTCTTTGTGATGTGTGCATTCAAGTCACAGAGTTGAACATTCCCTTTCGTACAGCAGTTTTGAAGCACTCTTTCTGTAGTATCTGGGAGTGAACATTAGGACAGCTTTCAGGTCTATGGTGAGAAAGGAAATATCTTCAAATAAAAACTAGACAGAAGCATTCTCATAAACTTGTTTGTGATGTGTGAACTCAGCTAACAGAGATGGATCTTTCTTTTGATAGAGCAGTTCTGAAAAACACTTTTTGTTGAATCTGCAAGTGGACATTTGGATAGATTTGAAGATTTCGTTGGAAACGGGAATATCTTCATATCAAATCTAGGCAGAAGCATTCTCAGAAACGTCTTTGCGATGTTTGCATTCAACTCATAGAGTTGAACATTCCGTTTCAGAGAGCAGCCTTGAGGCACTCTTTTTGTAGTATGTGCAAGTGGATATTTGGAGCGCTCTGAGGCCTACGGTGAAAAAGCAAATATCTTCCCATAACCACTAGACAGAAACATTCTCAGAAACTCCTTTATGACGTATGTACTCAACTAACAGAGAAGAACCTTCCTTTTGACAGAGCAGTTTTGATACACTCTTTTTGTAGAATCTGCAAGCGGATATTTGGATAGCTGTGAAGATCTCGTTGGAAACGGGAATATCTTCCTATAAAATCTAGACAGAAGCATTCTCAGAAACTGCTCTGTGATGTCTGCATTCAAGTCACAGAGTTGAACATTGCCTTTCATAGAGCAGGTTTGAAACGCTCTTTTTGTAGTATATGGATGTGGACGTTTCGGACGGTTTGAGGCCCATGGTGATAAAGGGAATATCTTCCCCTACAAGCTAGAAAGAAGCATTCTGTGAAACTTGTTTGTGATGTGTGTACTCAACTAACAGAGTTGAACCTTTCTTTTCACAGAGCAGTTTTGAAACACTCTTTTTGTAGAATCTGCGAGGGGATATTTGGATAGATTTCACCATTTCGTTGGAAACGGGAATATCTTCATATAAAATCTCGACAGAAGCATTCACAGAAACTTCTTTGTGATATCTGCATTCAAGTCACAGAGTTGAATATTCCCTTTCACAGAGTAGGTTTGAAACACTCTTTGTGGTATCTGGAAGTGGACATATCGAGCACCTTGACGCCTACGGTGAAAAGGGAAATATCTTCCCATAAAAACCAGACAGAAGCAATCTCAGAATCTTCTTTGGGATATATGCACGCAGCTAACAGAGTTGAATCTTTCTGTTGACAGAGCAGATTTGAAACAGTCTTTCTGTGGAATCTGCAAGTGGATATTTGGATAGATTGGAGGATTTCGTTGGAAACGGGATTACGTATAAAAAGTAGACAGCAGCATCCTCAGAAACTTCTTTGTGATGTGTGCATTCAAGTCACAGAGTTGAACATTCCCTTTCGTACAGCAGTTTTGAAACACTCTTTCTGTAGTATCTGGAAGTGAACATTAGGACAGATTTCAGCTCTATGGTGAGAAAGGAAATATCTTCAAATAAAAACTAGACAGAAGCATTCTCATAAACTTGTTTGTGATGTGTGAACTCATCTAACAGAGGTGGATCTTTCTTTTGATAGAGCAGTTCTGAAAAACACTTTTTGTTGAATCTGCAAGTGGACATTTGGATAGATTTGAAGATTTCGTTGGAAACGGGAATATGCTTCATATCAAATCTAGACAGAAGCATTCTCAGAAATGTCTTTGTGATGTTTGCATTCAACTCATAGAGTTGAACATTCCCTTTCAGAGAGCAGCTTTGAAGCACTCTTTTTGTAGTATGTGCAAGGGGATATTTGGAGCGCTCTGAGGCCTAAGGTGAAAAAGCAAATATCTTCCCATAACCACTAGACAGAAACATTCTCAGAAACTGCTTTATGACGTATGCACTCACCTAACAGAGAAGAACCTTCCTTTTGACAGAGCAGTTTTGATACACTCTTTTTGTAGAATCTGCAAGTGGATATTTGGATAGCTGTGAAGATTTCGTTGGAAACGGGAATATCTTCCTATAAAATCTAGACAGAAGCATTCTCAGAAACTGCTCTGTGATGTCTGCATTCAAGTCACAGAGTTGAACATTGCCTTTCATAGAGCAGGTTTGAAACGCTCTTATTGTAGTATATGGAAGTGGACTTATCGGACGGTTTGAGGCCCATGGTGATAAAGGGAATATCTTCCCCTACAAGCTAGAAAGAAGCATTCTGTGAAACTTGTTTGTGATGTGTGTACTCAACTAACAGAGTTGAACCTTTCTTTTCACAGAGCAGTTTTGAAACACTCTTTTTGTAGAATCTGCGAGGGGAAATTTGGATAGATTTCAGGATTTCGTTGGAAACGGGAATATCTTCATACAAAATACTCGACAGAAGCATTCTCAGAAACTTCTTTGTGATATGTGCATTCAAGTCACAGAGTTGAATATTCCCTTTCACAGAGTAGGTTTGAAACACTCTTTTTGTAGTATCTGGAAGTGGACATTTGGAGCGCCTTGACGCCTACAGTGAAAAGGGAAATATCTTCTCATAAAAAGTAGACAGAAGCAATCTCAGAATCTTCTTTGGGATATATGCACGCAGCTAACAGAGTTGAACCTTTCTATTGACAGAGCAGTTTTGAAACAGTCTTTCTGTGGAATCTGAAAGTGGATATTTGGATAGCTTGGAGGATTTCGTTGGAAACGGGATTACGCATAAAAAGTAGACAGCAGCATCCTCAGAAACTTCTTTGTGATGTGTGCATTCAAGTCACAGAGTTGAACATTCCCTTTCGTACAGTAGTTTTGAAACACTCTTTCTGTAGTATCTGGAATTGAACATTAGGACAGCTTTCAGGTCTATGGTGAGAAAGGAAATATCTTCAAATAAAAACTAGACAGAAGCATTCTCATAAACTTGTTTGTGATGTGTGAACTCAGCTAAGAGACGTGGATCTTTCTTTTGATAGAGCAGTTCTGAAAAACACGTTTTGTTGAATCTGCAAGTGGACATTTGGATAGATTTGAAGATTTCGTTGGAAACGGGAATATCTTCATATCAAATCTAGACAGAAGCATTCTCAGAAACGTCTTTGTGACGTTTGCATTCAACTCATAGAGTTGAACATTCCCTTTCAGAGAGCAGCTTTGAAGCACTCTTTTTGTAGTATGTGCAAGGGGATATTTGGAGCGCTCTGAGGCCTAAGGTGAAAAAGCAAATATCTTCCCATAACCACTAGACAGAAACATTCTCAGAAACTCCTTTATGACGTATGCACTCACCTAACAGAAAAGAACCTTCCTTTTGACAGAGCAGTTTTTATACACTCTTTTTGTAGAATCTGCAAGTGGATATTTGGATAGCTGTGAAGATTTCGTTGGAAACGGGAATATCTTCCTATAAAATCTAGACAGAAGCATTCTCAGAAACTGCTCTCTTATGTCTGCATTCAAGTCACAGAGTTGAACATTGCCTTTCCTAGAGCAGGTTTGAAACGCTCTTTTTGTAGTATATGGAAGTGGACGTTTCGGACGGTTTGAGGACCATGGTGATAAAGGGAATATCTTCCCCTACAAGCTAGAAAGAAGCATTCTGTGAAACTTGTTTGTGATGTGTGTACTCAACTAACAGAGTTGAACCTTTCTTTTCACAGAGCAGCTTTGAAACACTCTTTTTGTAGAATCTGCGAGGGGATATTTGGATAGATTTCAGGATTTCGTTGGAAACGGGTATATCTTCATATAAAATCTCGACAGAAGCATTCTCAGAAACTTCTTTGTGATATGTGCATTCAAGTCACACAGTTGAATATTCCCTTTCACAGAGTAGGTTTGAAACACTCTTTTTGTAGTATCTGGAAGTGGACATTTGGAGCGCCTTGACACCTACGGTGAAAAGGGAAATATCTTCCCATAAAAACTAGAGAGAAGCAATCTCAGAATCTTCCTTGGGATATATGCACGCAGCTAACAGAGTTGAACTTTTCTATTGACAGAGCAGTTTTGAAACAGTCTTTCTGTGGAATCTGCAAGTGGATATTTGGATAGCTTGGAGGATTTCGTTGGAAACGGGATTACGTATAAAAAGTAGACAGCAGCATCCTCAGAAACTTCTTTGTGATGTGTGCATTCAAGTCACAGAGTTGAACATTCCCTTTCATACAGCAGTTTTGAAACACTCTTTCTGTAGTATCTGGAAGTGAACAATAGGACAGCTTTCAGGTCTATGGTGAGAAAGGAAATATCTTCAAATAAAAACTAGACAGAAGGATTCTCATAAACTTGTTTGTGATGTGTGAACTCAGCTAACAGAGGTGGATCTTTCTTTTGATACAGCAGTTTTGAAAAACACTTTTTGTTGAATCTGCAAGTGGACATTTGGATAGATTTGAAGATTTCGTTGGAAACGGGAATATCTTCATATCAAATCTAGACAGAAGCATTCTCAGAAACGTCTTTGTGATGTTTGCATTCAACTCATAGAGTTGAACATTCCCTTTCAGAGAGCAGCTTTGAAGCACTCTTTTTGTAGTATGTGCAAGTGGATATTTGGAGCGCTCTGAGGCCTACGGGGAAAAAGCAAATATCTTCCCATAACCACTAGACAGAAACATTCTCAGAAACTCCTTTATGACGTATGCTCTCACCTAACAGAGAAGAACCTTCCTTTTGACAGAGCAGTTTTGATACACTCTTTTTGTAGAATCTGCAAGTGGATATTTGGATAGCTGTGAAGATTTCGTTGGAAACGGGAATATCTTCCTATAAAATCTAGACAGAAGCATTCTCAGAAAATGCTCTGTGATGTCTGCATTCAAGTCACAGAGTTGAACATTGCCTTTCATAGAGCAGGTTTGAAACGCTCTTTTTGTAGTATATGGAAGTGGACGTTTCGGACGGTTTGAGGCCCATGGTGATAAAGGGAATATCTTCCCCTACAAGCTAGAAAGAAGCATTCTGTGAAACTTGTTTGTGATGTGTGTACTCAACTAACAGAGTTGAACCTTTCTTTTCACAGAGCAGTTTTGAAACACTCTTTTCGTAGAATCTGCGAGGGGATATTTGGATAGATTTCAGCATTTCGTTGGAAACGGGAATATCTTCATATAAAATCTCGACAGAAGCATTCTCAGAAACTTCCTTGTGATATGTGCATTCAAGTCACAGAGTTGAATATTCCCTTTCACAGAGTAGGTTTGAAACACTCTTTTTGTAGTATCTGGAAGTGGACATTTGGAGCGCCTGGACGCCTACGGTGAAAAGGGAAATATCTTCCCATAAAAACTAGACAGAAGCAATCTCAGAATCTTCTTCGGGATATATGCACGCAGCTAACAGAGTTGAACCTTTCTATTGACAGAGCAGTTTTGAAACAGTCTTTCTGTGGAATCTGCTAGTGGATATTTGGATAGCTTGGAGGATTTCGTTGGAAACGGGATTAAGTATAAAAAGTAGACAGCAGCATCCTCAGAATCTTCTTTGTGATGTGTGCATTCAAGTCACAGAGTTGAACATTCCCTTTCGTACAGCAGTGTTGAAACACTCTTTATGTAGTATCTGGAAGTGAACATTAGGACAGCTTTCAGGTCTATGGTGAGAAAGGAAATATCTTCAAATAAAAACTAGACAGAAGCATTCTCATAAACTTGTTTGTGATGTGTGAACTCAGCTAACAGAGGCGGATCTTTCTTTTGATAGAGCAGTTCGGAAAAACACTTTTTGTTGAATCTGCAAGTGGACATTTGGATAGATTTGAAGATTTCGTTGGAAACGGGAATATCTTCATATCAAATCTAGACAGAAGCATTCTCAGAAACGTCTTTGGGATGTTTGCATTCAACTCATAGAGTTGAACATTCCCTTTCAGAGAGCAGCTTTGAAGCACTCTTTTTGTAGTATGTGCAAGTGGATATTTGGAGCGCTCTGAGGCCTAAGGTGAAAAAGCAAATATCTTCCCATAACCACTAGACAGAAACATTCTCAGAAACTCCTTTATGACGTATGTACTCAACTAACAGAGAAGAACCTTCCTTTTGACAGAGGAGTTTTGATACACTCTTTTTGTAGAATCTGCAAGTGGATATTTGGATAGCTGTGAAGATTTCGTTGGAAACGGGAATATCTTCCTATAAAATCCAGACAGAAGCATTCTCAGAAACAGCTCTGTGATGTCTGCATTCAAGTCACAGAGTTGAACACTGCCTTTCCTAGAGCAGGTTTGAAACGCTCTTTTTGTAGTATATGGAAGTGGACGTTTCGGACGGTTTGAGACCCATGGTGATAAAGGGAATATATTCCCCTACAAGCTAGAGAGAAGCATTCTGTGAAACTTGTTTGTGATGTTTGTACTCAACTAACAGAGTTGAACCTTTCTTTTACAGAGCAGTTTTGAAACACTCTTTTTGTAGAATCTGCGAGGGGATATTTGGATACATTTCAGGATTTCGTTGGAAACGGGAATATCTTCATATAAAATCTCGACAGAAGCATTCTCAGAAACTTCTTTGTGATATCTGCATTCAAGTCACAGAGTTGAATATTCCCTTTCACAGAGTAGGTTTGAAACACTCTTTTTGTAGTGTCTGGAAGTGGAAATTTGGAGCACATTGACACCTACGGTGAAAAGGGAAATATCTTCCCATTAAAACTAGACAGAAGCAATCTCAGAATTTTCTTTGGGATATATGCACACAGCTAACAGAGTTGAACTTTTCTATTGACATAGCAGTTTTGAAACGGTCTTTCTGTGGAATCTGCAAGTGGATATTTGGATAGCTTGGAGGATTTCGTTGGAAACGGGATTACGTATAAAAAGTAGACAGCAGCATCCTCAGAAACTTCTTTGTGATGTGTGCATTCAAGTCACAGAGTTGAACATTCCCTTTCGTACAGCAGTTTTGAAACACTCTTTCTGTAGTATCTGGAAGTGAACATTAGGACACCTTTCAGCTCTATGGTGAGAAAGGAAATATCTTCAAATAAAAACTAGACAGAAGCATTCTCATAAACATGTTTGTGATGTGTGAACTCAGCTAAAAGAGGTGGATCTTTCTTTTGATAGAGCAGTTCTGAAAAACACTTTTTGTTGAATCTGCAAGTGGACATTTGGATGGATTTGAAGATTTCTTTGGAAACGGGAATATCTTCATATCAAATCTAGACAGAAGCATTCTCAGAAACGTCTTTGTGATGTTTGCATTCAACTCATAGAGTTGAACATTCCGTTTCAAAGAGCAGCTTTGAGGCACTCTTTTTGTAGTATGTGCAAGTGGATATTTGGAGCGCTCTGAGGACTAAGGTGAAAAAGCAAATATCTTCCCATAACCACTAGACAGAAACATTCTCAGAAACTCCTTTATGACGTATGCACTCACCTAACAGAAAAGAACCTTCCTTTTGACAGAGCAGTTTTGATACACTCTTTTTGTAGAATCTGCAAGTGGATATTTGGATAGCTGTGAAGATTTCGTTGGAAACGGGAATGTCTTCCTATAAAATCTAGACAGAAGCATTCTCAGAAACTGCTCTGTGATGTCTGCATTCAAGTCACAGAGTTGAACATTGCCTTTCATAGAGCAGGTTTGAAACGCTCTTTTTGTAGTATATGGAAGTGGACGTTTCGGACGGTTTGAGGCCCATGGTGATAAAGGAAATATCTTCCCCTACAAGCTAGAAAGAAGCATTCTGTGAAACTTGTTTGTGATGTGTGTACTCAACTAACAGAGTTGAACCTTTCTTTTTACAGAGCAGTTTTGAAACACTCTTTTTGTAGAATCTGCGAGGGGAAATTTGGATACATTTCAGGATTTCGTTGGAAACGGGAATATCTTCATACAAAATCTCGACAGAAGCATTCTCAGAAGCTTCTTTGTGATATGTGCATTGAAGTCACAGAGTTCAATATTCCCTTTCACAGAGTAGGTTTGAAACACTCTTTTTGTAGTATCTGGAAGTGGACATTTGGAGCGCCTTGACGCCTACGGTGAAAAGGGAAATATCTTCCCATAAAAACTAGACAGAAGCAATCTCAGAATCTTCTTTGGGATATATGCACGCAGCTAACAGAGTTGAACCTTTCTATTGACAGAGCAGTTTTGAAACAGTCTTTCTGTGGAATCTGCAAGTGGATATTTGGATAGTTTGGAGGATTTCGTTGGAAACGGGATTACGTATAAAAATTAGACAGCAGCATCCTCAGAAACTTCTTTGTGATGTGTGCATTCAAGTCACAGAGTTGAATATTCCCTTTCATACAGCAGTTTTGAAACACTCTTTCTGTAGTATCTGGAAGTGAACTTTAGGAGAGCTTTCAGGTATATAGTGAGAAAGGATATATCTTCAAATAAAAACTAGACAGAAGCATTCTCATAAAGTTGTTTGTGATGTGTGAACTCAGCTAACAGAGGTGGATCTTTCTTTTGATAGAGCAGTTCTGAAAAACACTTTTTGTTGAATCTGCAAGTGGACATTTGGATAGACTTGAAGATTTCGTTGGACACGGGAATATCTTCATATCAAATCTAGACAGAAGCATTTTCAGAAACGTCTTTGTGATGTTTGCATTCAACTCATAGAGTTGAACATTCCGTTTCAGAGAGCAGCTTTGAGGCACACTTTTTGTAGTATGTGCAAGTGGATATTTGGAGCGCTCTGAGGCCTACGGTGAAAAAGCAAATATCTTCCCATAACCACTAGACAGAAACATTCTCAGAACTCCTTTATGACGTATGCACTCACCTAACAGAGAAGAACCTTCCTTTTGACAGAGCAGTTTTGATACACTCTTTTTGTAGAATCTGCAAGTGGATATTTGGATAGCTGTGAAGATTTCGTTGGAAACGGGAATATCTTCCTATAAAATCTAGACAGAAGGATTCTCAGAAACTGCTCTGTGATGTCTGCATTCAAGTCACAGAGTTGAACATTGCCTTTCATAGAGCAGGTTTGAAACGCTCTTTTTGTAGTATATGGAAGTGGACGTTTCGGACGGTTTGAGGCCAATGGTGATAAAGGGAATATCTTCCCCTACCAGCTAGAAAGAAGCATTCTGTGAAACTTGTTTGTGATGTGTGTACTCAACTAACAGAGTTGAACCTTTCTTTTTACAGAGCAGTTTTGAAACACGCTTTTTGTAGAATCTGCGAGGGGATATTTGGATAGATTTCAGGATTTCGTTGGAAACGGGAATATCTTCATATAAAATCTCGACAGAAGCATTCTCAGAAACTTCATTGTGATATCTGCATTCAAGGCACAGAGTTGAATATTCCCTTTCAGAGAGTAGGTTTGAAACACTCTTTTTGTAGTATCTGGAAGTGGACATTTGGAGCGCCTTGACACCTACGGTGAAAAGGGAAATATCTTCCCATAAAAACTAGACAGAAGCAATCTCAGAATCTTCTTTGGGATATATGCACGCAGCTAACAGAGTTGAACCTTTCTATTGACAGAGCAGTTTTGAAACAGTATTTCTGTGGAATCTGCAAGTGGATATTTGGATAGCTTGGAGGATTTCGTTGGAAAAGGGATTACGTATAAAAAGTAGACAGCAGCATCCTCAGAAACTTCTTTGTGATGTGTGCATTCAAGTCACAGAGTTGAACATTCCCTTTCGTACAGCAGTTTTGAAACACTCTTTCTGTAGTATCTGGAAGTGAACTTTAGGAGAGCTTTCAGGTCTATAGTGAGAAAGGAAATATCTTCAAATAAAAACTAGACAGAAAGCATTCTCATAAACTTCTTTGTGATGTGTGAACTCAGCTAACCGAGGTGGATCTTTCTTTTGATAGAGCAGTTCTGAAAAACACTTTTTGTTGAATCTGCAAGTGGACATTTGGATAGATTTGAAGATTTCGTTGGAAACGGGAATAACTTCATTTCAAATCTAGACAGAAGCATTCTCAGAAACGTCTTTGTGACGTTTGCATTCAACTCATAGAGTTGAACATTCCGTTTCAGAGAGCAGCTTTGAGGCACTCTTTTTGTAGTATGTGGAAGTGGATATTTGGAGCGCTCTGAGGCCTACGGTGAAAAAGCAAATATATTCCCATAACCACTAGACAGAAACATTCTCAGAAATTCCTTTATGACGTATGCACTCACCTAACAGAGAAGAACCTTCCTTTTGACAGAGCAGTTTTGATACACTCTTTTTGTAGAATCTGCAAGTGGATATTTGGATACCTGTGAAGATTTCGTTGGAAACGGGAATATCTTCCTATAACATCTAGACAGAAGCATTCTCAGAAACTGCTCTGTGATGTCTGCATTCAAGTCACAGAGTTGAACATTGCCTTTCATAGAGCAGGTTTGAAACGCTCTTTTTGTACTATATGGAAGAGGACGTTTCGGACGGTTTGAGGCCCATGGTGATAAAGGGAATATCTTCCCCTACAAGCTAGAAAGAAGCATTCTGTGAAACATGTTTGTGATGTGTGTTCTCAACTAACAGAGTTGAACCTTTCTTTTTACAGAGCACTTTTGAAACACTCTTTTTGTAGAATCTGCGAGGGGATATTTGGATAGATTTCAGGATTTCGTTGGAAACGGGAATATCTTCATATAAAATCTCGACAGAAGCATTCTCAGAAACTTCTTTGTGATATCTGCATTCAAGTCACAGAGTTGAATATTCCCTTTCACAGAGTAGGTTTGAAACACTCTTTTTGTAGTGTCTGGAAGTGGACATTTGGAGCACATTGACACCTACGGTGAAAAGGGAAATATCTTCCCATAAAAACTAGACAGAAGCAATCTCAGAATCTTCTTTGGGATATATGCACGCAGCTAACAGAGTTGAACCTTTCTATTGACAGAGCAGTTTTGAAACAGTCTTTCTGTGGAATCTGCAAGTGGATATTTCGATAGCTTGGAGGATTTCGTTGGAAACGGGATTACGTATAAAAAGTAGCCAGCAGCATCCTCAGAAACTTCTTTGTGATGTGTGCATTCAAGTCACAGAGTTGAGCATTCCCTTTCGTACAGCAGTTTTGAAACACTCTTTCTGTAGTATCTGGAAGTGAACATTAGGACAGCTTTCAGGTCTATGGTGAGAAAGGAAATATCTTCAAATAAAAACTAGACAGAAGCATTCTCATAAACTTGTTTGTGATGTGTGAACTCAGCTAACAGAGGTGGATCTTTCTTTTGATAGAACAGTTCTGAAAAACACTTTTTGTTGAATCTGCAAGTGGACATTTGGATAGATTTGAAGATTTCGTTGGAAACGGGAATATCTTCATATCAAATCTAGACAGAAAGCATTCTCAGAAACGTCTTTGTGATGTTTGCATTCAACTCATAGAGTTGAACATTCCGTTTCAGAGACCAGCTTTGAAGCACTCTTTTTGTAGTATGTGCAAGTGGATATTTGGAGCGCTCTGAGGCCTACGGTGAAAAAGCAAATATCTTCCCATAACCACTAGACAGAAACATGCTCAGAAACTCCTTTATGACGTATGCACTCACCTAACAGAGAAGAACCTTCCTTTTGACAGAGCAGTTTTGATACACTCTTTTTGTAGAATCTGCAAGTGGATATTTGGATAGCTGTGAAGATTTCGTTGGAAACGGGAATATCTTCCTATAAAATCTAGACAGAAGCATTCTCAGAAACTGCTCTGTGATGTCTGCATTCAAGTCACAGAGTTGAACATTGCCTTTCATAGAGCAGGTTTGAAACCCTCTTTTTGTAGTATATGGAAGTGGACGTTTCGGACGGTTTGAGGCCCATGGTGATAAAGGGAATATCTTCCCCTACAAGCTAGAAAGAAGCATTCTGTGAAACTTGTTTGTGATGTGTGTACTCAACTAATAGAGTTGAACCTTTCTTTTTACAGAGCAGTTTTGAAACACTATTTTTGTAGAATCTGCGAGGGGATATTTGGATAGATTTCAGGATTTCGTTGGAAACGGGAATATCTTCATATAAAATCTCGACAGAAGCATTCTCAGAAACTTCATTGTGATATCTGCATTCAAGTCACAGAGTTGAATATTCCCTTTCACAGAGTAGGTTTGAAACACTCTTTTTGTAGTATCTGGAAGTGGACATTTGGAGCGCCTTGACACCTACGGTGAAAAGGGAAATATCTTCCCATAAAAACTAGACAGAAGCAATCTCAGAATCTTCTTTGGGATATATGCACGCAGCTAACAGAGTTGAACCTTTCTACTGACAGAGCAGTTTAGAAACAGTCTTTCTGTGGAATCTGCAAGTGGATATTTGGATAGATTGGAGGATTTCGTTGGAAACGGGATTACGTATAAAAAGTAGACAGCAGCATCCTCAGAAACTTCCTTGTGATGTGTGCATTCAAGTCACAGAGATGAACATTCCCTTTCGTACAGCAGTTTTGAAACACTCTTTCTGTAGTATCTGGAAGTGAACATTAGGAGGGCTTTCAGGTCTATAGTGAGAAAGGATATATCTTCAAATAAAAACTAGACAGAAGAATTCTGATAAACTTGTTTGTGAAGTGTGAACTCAGCTAACACAGGTGGATCTTTCTTTTGATACAGCAGTTTTGAAAAACACTTTGTTGAATCTGCAAGTGGACATTTGGATAGATTTGAAGATTTCGTTGGAAACGGGAATATCTTCTTATCAAATCTAGACAGAAGCATTCTCAGAAACGTCTTTGTGATGTTTGCATTCAACTCACAGATTTGAACATTCCCTTTCAGAGAGCAGCTTTGAAGCACTCTTTTTGTAGTATGTGCAAGGGGATATTTGGAGCGCTCTGAGGCCTACGGTGAAAAAGCAAATATCTTCCCATAACCACTAGACAGAAACATTCTCAGAAACTCCTTTATGACGTATGCACTCACCTAACAGAGAAGAAGCTTCCTTTTGACAGAGCACTTTTGATACACTCTTTTTGTAGAATCTGAAAGTGGATATTTGGATAGCTGTGAAGATTTCGTTGGAAACGGGAATATCTTCCTATAAAATCTAGACAGAAGCATTCTCAGAAACTGCTCTGTGATGTCTGCATTCAAGTCACAGAGTTGAACATTGCCTTTCATTTAGCAGGTTTGAAACGCTCTTTTTGTAGTATATGGAAGTGGACGTTTCGGACGGTTTGAGGCCCATGGTGATAAAGGGAATATCTTCCCCTACAAGCTAGAAAGAAGCATTCTGTGAAACTTGTTTGTGATGTGTGTACTGAAGTAACAGAGTTGAACCTTTCTTTTTACAGAGCAGTTTTGAAACACTCTTTTTGTAGAATCTGCGAGGGGATATTTGGATAGAATTCAGGATTTCGTTGGAAACGGGAATATCTTCATAGAAAATCTCGACAGAAGCATTCTCAGAAGCTTCGTTGTGATATGTGCATTCAAGTCACAGAGTTGAATATTCCCTTTCACAGAGTAGGTTTGAAACACACTTTTTGTAGTATCTGGAAGTGGACTTTTGGAGCGCCTTGATGCCTACGGTGAAAAGGGAAATATCTTCTCATAAAAAGTAGACAGAAGCAATCTCAGAATCTTCTTTGGGATATATGCACGCAGCTAACAGAGTTGAACCTTTCTATTGACAGAGCAGTTTTGAAACAGTCTTTCTGTGGAATCTGCAAGTGGATATTTGGATAGCTTGGGAGGATTTCGTTGGAAACGGGATTACGTATAAAAAGTAGACAGCAGCATCCTCAGAAACTTCTTTGTGATGTGTGCATTCAAGTCACAGAGTTGAACATTCCCTTTCTTACAGCAGTTTTGAAACGCTCTTTCTGTAGTATCTGGAAGTGAACATTAGGACAGCTTTCAGGTCTATGGTGAGAAAGGAAATATCTTCAAATAAAAACTAGACAGAAGCATTCTCATAAACTTGTTTGTGATGTGTGAACTCAGCTAACAGACGTGGATCTTTCTTTTGATACAGCAGTTTTGAAAAACACTTTTTGTTGAATCTGCAAGTGGACATTTGGATAGATTTGAAGATTTCGTTGGAAACGGGAATATCTTCATATCAAATACTAGACAGAATCATTCCCAAAAACGTCTTTGTGATGTTTGCATTCAACTCATAGAGTTGAACATTCCGTTTCAGAGAGCAGCTTTGAAGCACTCTTTTTGTAGTATGTGCAAGGGGATATTTGGAGTGCTCTGAGGCCTAAGGTGAAAAGGCAAATATCTTCCCATAACCACTAGACAGAAACATTCTCAGAAACTCCTTTATGACGTATGCACTCACCTAACAGAGAAGAAACCTTCCTTTTGACAGAGCAGTTTTGATACACTCTTTTTGTAGAATCTGCAAGTGGATATTTGGATAGCTGTGAAGATTTCGTTGGAAACGGGAATATCTTCCTATAAAATCTATACAGAAGCATTCTCAGAAACTGCTCTGTGATGTCTGCATTCAAGTCACAGAGTTGAACATTGTCTTTCCTAGAACAGGTTTGAAACGCTCTTTTTGTAGTATATGGAAGTGGACGTTTCGGACGGTTTGAGGCCCATGGTGATAAAGGGAATATCTTCCCCTACAAGCTAGAAAGAAGCATTCTGTGAAACTTGTTTGTGATGTGTGTACTCAACTAACAGAGTTGAACCTTTGTTTTTACAGAGCAGTTTTGAAACACTCTTTTTGTAGAATCTACGAGGGGATATTTGGATACATTTCAGCATTTCGTTGGAAACGGGAATATCTTCATATAAAATCTCGACAGAAGCATTCTCAGAAACTTCTTTGTGATATCTGCATTCAAGTCACAGAGTTGAATATTCCCTTTCACAGAGTAGGTTTGAAACACTCCTTTTGTAGTATCTGGAAGTGGACATTTGGATCGCCTTGACGCCTACGGTGAAAAGGGAAATATCTTCTCATAAAAACTAGACAGAAGCAATCTCAGAATCTTCTTTGGGATATATGCACGCAGTTAACAGAGTTGAACCTTTCTATTGACAGAGCAGTTTTGAAACAGTCTTTCTGTGGAATCTCCAAGTGGATATTTGGATAGCTTGGAGCATTTCGTTGGAAACGGGATTACGTATAAAAAGTAGACAGCAGCATCCTCAGAAACTTCTTTGTGATGTGTGCATTCAAGTCACAGGGTTGAACATTCCCTTTCGTACAGCAGTTTTGAAACACTCTTTCTGTAGTAACTGGAAGTGAACATTAGGACAGCTTTCAGGTCTATGGTGAGAAAGGAAATATCTTCAAATAAAAACTAGACAGAAGCATTCTCATAATCTTGTTTGTGATGTGTGAACTCAGCTAACAGACGTGGATCTTTCTTTTGATACAGCAGTTTTGAAAAACACTTTTTGTTGAATCTGCAAGTGGACATTTGGATAGATATGAAGATTTCGTTGGAAACGGGAATATCTTCATATCAAATCTAGACAGAAGCATTCTCAGAAACGTCTTTGTCATGTTTGCATTCAACTCATAGAGTTGAACATTCCGTTTCAGAGAGCAGCTTTGAAGCACTCTTTTTGTAGTATGTGCAAGTGGATATTTGGAGCGCTCTGAGGCCTAAGGTGAAAAAGCAAATATCTTACCGTAACCACTAGACAGAAACATTCTCAGAAACTCCTTTATGACGTATGTACTCAACTAACAGAGAAGAACCTTCCTTTTGACAGAGCAGTTTTGATACACTCTTTTTGTAGAATCTGCAAGTGGATATTTGGATAGCTGTGAAGATTTCGCTGGAAACGGGAATATCTTCCTATAAAATCTAGACAGAAGCATTCTCAGAAACTGCTCTGTGATGTCTGCATTCAAGTCACAGAGTTGAACATTGCCTTTCATAGAGCAGGTTTCAAACACTCTTTTTTTAGTATATGGAAGTGGACGCTTCGGACGGTTTGAGGCCCATGGTGATACAGGGAATATCTTCCCCTACAAGCTAGAAAGAAGCATTCTGTGAAAGTTGTTTGTGATGTGTGTACTCAACTAACAGAGTTGAACCTTTGTTTTTACAGAGCAGTTTTGAAACACTCTTTTTGTAGAATCTGCGAGGGGATATTTGGATAGATTTCAGGATTTCATTGGAAACGGGAATATCTTCATATAAAATCTCAACAGAAGCATTCTCAGAAACTTCTTTGTGATATGTGCATTCAAGTCACAGGTTTGAATATTCCCTTTCACAGAGTAGGTTTGAAACACTCTTTTTGTAGTATCTGGAAGTGGACATTTGGAGCGCCTTGACGCCTAAGGTGAAAAGGGAAATATCTTCCCATAAAAACTAGACAGAAGCAATCTCAGAATCTTCTTTGGGATATATGCACCGCAGCTAACAGAGTTGAACCTTTCTATTGACAGAGCAGTTTTGAAACAGTCTTTCTGTGGAATCTGCAAGTGGATATTTGGATAGCTTGGAGGATTTCGTTGGAAACGGGATTACGCATAAAAAGTAGACAGCAGCATCCTCAGAAACTTCTTTGTGATGTGTGCATTCAAGTCACAGAGTTGAATATTCCCTTTCGTACAGCAGTTTTGAAACACTCTTTCTGTAGTATCTGGAAGTGAACACTAGGACAGCTTTCAGGTCTATGGTGAGAAAGGAAATATCTTCAAATAAAAACTAGACAGAAGCATTCTCTTAAACTTGTTTGTGATGTGTGAACTCAGCTAACAGATGTGGATCTTTCTTTTGATATAACAGTTTTGAAAAACACTTTTTGTTGAATCTGCAAATGGACATTTGGATAGATTTGAAGATTTCGTTGGAAACGGGAATATCTTCATATCAAATCTAGACAGAAGCATTCTCAGAAACGTCTTTGTGATGTTTGCATTCAACTCATAGAGTTGAACATTCCGTTTCAGAGAGCAGCTTTGAAGCACTCTTTTTGTAGTATGTGCAAGTGGATATTTGGATCGCTCTGAGGCCTACGGTGAAAAAGCAAATATCTTCCCATAACCACTAGACAGAAACATTCTCAGAAACTCCTTTATGACGTATGCACTCACCTAACAGAGAAGAACCTTCCTTTTGACAGAGCAGTTTTGATACACTCTTTTTGTAGAATCTGCAAGTGGATATGTGGATAGCTGTGAAGATTTCGTTGGAAACGGGAATATCTTCCTATAAAATCTAGACAGAAGCATTCTCAGAAACTGCTCTGTGATGTCTGCATTCAAGTCACAGAGTTGAACATTGCCTTTCATAGAGCAGGTTTGAAACGCTCTTTTTGTAGTATATGGAAGTGGATGTTTCGGACGGTTGGAGGCCCATGGTGATAAAGGGAATATCTTCCCCTACAAGATAGAAAGAAGCATTCTGTGAAACTTGTTTGTGATGTGTGTACTCAACTAAGAGAGTTGAACCTTTCTTTTCACAGAGCAGTTTTGAAACACTCTTTTTGTAGACTCTCCGAGGGGATATTTGGATAGATTTCAGGATTTCGTTGGAAACGGGAATATCTTCATACAAAATCTCGACAGAAGCATTCTCAGAAACTTCTTTGTGATATGTGCATTCAAGTCACAGAGTTGAATATTCCCTTTCACAGAGTAGGTTTGAAACACTCTTTTGGTAGTATCTGGAAGTGGACATTTGGAGCGCCTTGACACCTACGGTGAAAAGGGAAATATCTTCCCATCAAAACTAGACAGAAGCAATCTCAGAATCTTCTTTGGGATATATGCATGCAGCTAACAGAGTTGAACCTTTCTATTGACAGAGCAGTTTTGAAACAGTCTTTCTGTGGAATCTGCAAGTGGATATTTGGATAGCTTGGAGGATTTCGTTGGAAACGGGATTACGTATAAAAAGTAGACAGCAGCATCCTCAGAAACTTCTTTGTGATGTGTGCATTCAAGTCACAGAGTTGAACATTCCCTTTCGTACAGCAGTTTTGAAACACTCTTTCTGTAGTACCTGGAAGTGAACATTAGGACAGCTTTCAGGTCTATGGTGAGAAAGGAAATATCTTCAAATAAAAACTAGACAGAAGCATTCTCATAAACTTGTTTGTAATGTGTGAACTCAGCTAACACACGTGGATCTTTCTTTTGATAGAGCAGTTCTGAAAAACACTTTTTGTTGAATCTGCAAGTGGACATTTGGATAGATTTGAAGATTTCGTTGGAAACGGGAATATCTTCATATCAAATCTAGACAGAAGCATTCTCAGAAACGTCTTTGCGATGTTTGCATTCAACTCATAGAGTTGAACATTCCGTTTCAGAGAGCAGCTTTGAGGCACTCTTTTTGTAGTATGTGCAAGTGGATATTTGGAGCGCTCTGAGGCCTACGGTGAAAAAGCAAATATCATCCCATAACCACTAGACAGAAACATTCTCAGAAACTCCTTTATGATGTATGCGCTCACCTAACAGAGAAGAACCTTCCTTTTGACAGAGCACTTTTGATACACTCTTTTTGTAGAATCTGCAAGTGGATATTTGGATAGCTGTGAAGATTTCGTTGGAAACGGGAATATCTTCCTATAAAATCTAGACAGAAGCATTCTCAGAAACCGCTCTGTGATGTCTGCATTCAAGTCACAGAGTTGAACATTGCCTTTCATAGAGCAGGTTTGAAACGCTCTTTTTGTAGTATATGGAAGTGGATGTTTCGGACGGTTGGAGGCCCATGGTGATAAAGGGAATATCTTCCCCTACAAGCTAGAAAGAAGCATTCTGTGAAACTTGTTTGTGATGTGTCTACTCAACTAACAGAGTTGAACCTTTCTTTTTACAGAGCAGTTTTGAAACACTCTTTTTGTAGAATCTGCGAGGGGATATTTGGATACATTTCAGGATTTCGTTGGAAACGGGAATATCTTCATATAAAATCTCGACAGAAGCATTCTCAGAAACTTCCTTGTGATATGTGCATTCAAGTCACAGAGTTGAATATTCCCTTTCACAGAGTAGGTTTGAAACACTCTTTTTGTAGTATCTGGAAGTGGACATTTGGAGCACCTTGACGCCTACGGTGAAAAGGGAAATATCTTCCCATAAAAACTAGACAGAAGCAATCTCAGAATCTTCTTTGGGATATATGCACGCAGCTAACAGAGTTGAACCTTTCTATTGACAGAGCAGTTTTGAAACAGTCTTTCTGTGGAATCTGCAAGTGGATATTTCGATAGCTTGGAGGATTTC
The DNA here is from genome assembly GCF_000001405.40 of Homo sapiens. Taxonomy (NCBI): domain Eukaryota; kingdom Metazoa; phylum Chordata; class Mammalia; order Primates; family Hominidae; genus Homo; species Homo sapiens. Next base: position 17,389,543 of record NC_000014.9, read on the forward strand.
GTTGGAAACGGGATTACGTATAAAAAGTAGACAGCAGCATCCTCAGAAACTTCTTTGTGATGTGTGCATTCAAGTCACAGAGTTGAACATTCCCTTTCGTACAGCAGTTTTGAAACACTCTTTCTGTAGCATCTGGAAGTGAACATTAGGACAGCTTTCAGGTCTATGTTGAGAAAGGAAATATCTTCAAATAAAAACTAGACAGAAGCATTCTCATAAACTTCTTTGTGATGTGTGAACTCAGCTAACAGAGGTGGATCTTTCTTTTGATAGAGCAGTTCTGAAAAACACTTTTTGTTGAATCTGCAAGTGGACATTTGGATAGATATGAAGATTTCGTTGGAAACGGGAATATCTTCATATCAAATCTAGACAGAAGCATTCTCAGAAACGTCTTTGCGATGTTTGCATTCAACTCATAGAGTTGAACATTCCGTTTCAGAGACCAGCTTTGAAGCACTCTTTTTGTAGTATGTGCAAGTGGATATTTGGAGCGCTCTGAGGCCTACGGTGAAAAAGCAAATATCTTCCCATAACCACTAGACAGAAACATTCTCAGAAACTCCTTTATGACGTATGCACTCACCTAACAGAGAAGAACCTTCCTTTTGACAGAGCAGTTTTGATACACTCTTTTTGTAGAATCTGCAAGTGGATATTTGGATAGCTGTGAAGATTTCGTTGGAAACGGGAATATATTCCTATAAAATCTAGACAGAAGCATTCTCAGAAACTGCTCTGTGATGTCTGCATTCAAGTCACAGAGTTGAACATTGCCTTTCATAGAGCAGGTTTGAAACGCTCTTTTTGTAGTATATAAAAGTGGACGTTTCGGACGGTTTGAGGCCCATGGTCATAAAGGGAATATCTTCCCATACAAGCTAGAAAGAAGCATTCTGAGAAACTAGTTTGTGATGTGTGTATTCAACTAACAGCGGTGAACCTTTCTTTTTACAGAGCTGTTTTGGAAAACTCTTTTTGTAGAATCTGCGAGGGGATATTTGCATAGGTTTCAGGATTTCGTTGGAAACGGGAATAACTTCATATAAAATCTCGACAGAAGCATTCTCAGAAACTTCTTTGTGATATCTGCCTTCAAGTCACAGAGTTGAATATTCCCTTTCACAGAGTAGGTTTGTAACACTCTTTTTGTAGTATCTGGAAGTGGACATTTGGAGCGCCTTGACGCCTACGGTGAAAAGGGAAATATCTTCCCATAAAAACTAGACAGAAGCAATCTCAGAATCTTCTTTGGGATATATGCACGCAGCTAACAGAGTTGAACCTTTCTATTGACAGAGCAGTTTTGAAACAGTCTTTCTGTGGAATCTGCAAGTGGATATTTGGATAGCTTGGAGGGTTTCGTTGGAAACGGGATTACGTATAAAAAGTAGACAGCAGCATCCTCAGAAACTTCTTTGTGATGTGTGCATTCAAGTCACAGAGTTGAACATTCCCTTTCGTACAGCAGTTTTGAAACACTCTTTCTGTAGTATCTGGAAGTGAACATTAGTACAGCTTTCAGGGCTATGGTCAGAAAGGAAATATCTTCAAATAAAAACTAGACAGAAGCATTCTCATAAACTTGTTTGTGATGTGTGAACTCAGCTAACGCACGTGGATCTTTCTTTTGATAGAGCAGTTCTGAAAAACACTTTTTGTTGAATCTGCAAGTGGACATTTGGATAGATTTGAAGATTTCGTTGGAAACGGGAATATCTTCATATCAAATCTAGACAGAAGCATTGTCAGAAACGTCTTTGTCATGTTTGCATTCAACTCTTAGAGTTGAACATTCCGTTTCAGAGAGCAGCTTTGAAGCACTCTTTTTGTAGTATGTGCAAGCGGATATTTGGAGCGCTCTGAGGCCTACGGTGAAAAAGCAAATATCTTCCCATAACCACTAGACAGAAACATTCTCAAAAACTCCTTTATGACGTATGTACTCAACTGACAGAGAAGAACTTTCCTTTTGACGGAGCATTTTTGATACACTCTTTTTGTACTGTCTGCAAGTGGATATTTGGATAGCTGTGAAGATTTCGTTGGAAACGGGAATATCTTCCTATAAAACCTAGACAGAAGCATTCTCAGAAACTGCTCTGTGATGTCTGCATTCAAGTCACAGAGTTGAACATTGCCTTTCATAGAGCAGGTTTGAAACGCTCTTTTTGTAGTATATGGAAGTGGACGTTTCGGAGGGTTTGAGGCCCATGGTGATAAAGGGAATATCTTCCCCTACAAGCTAGAAAGAAGAATTCTGTGAAACTTGTTTGTGATGTGTGTACTCAACTAACAGAGTTGAACCTTTCTTTTTACAGAGCAGTTTTGAAACACTCTTTTTGTAGAATCTGCGAGGGGATATTTGGATAGATTTCAGGATTTCGTTGGAAACGGGAATATCTTCATATAAAATCTCGACAGAAGCATTCTCAGAAACTTCTTTGTGATATCTGCATTCAAGTCACAGAGTTGAATATTCCCTTTCACAGAGTAGGTTTGAAACACTCCTTTTGTAGTATCTGGAAGTGGACATTTGGATCGCCTTGACACCTACGGTGAAAAGGGAAATATCTTCTCATAAAAACTAGACAGAAGCAATCTCAGAATCTTCTTTGGGATATATGCACGCAGCTAACAGATTTGCACCTTTCTATTGACAGAGCAGTTTTGAAACAGTCTTTCTGTGGAATCTGCAAGTGGATATTTGGATAGCTTGGAGGATTTCGTTGGAAACGGGATTACGCATAAAAAGTAGACAGCAGCATCCTCAGAAACTTCTTTGTGATGTGTGCATTCAAGTCACAGATTTGAACATTCCCTTTTGTACACCAGTTTTGAAAGACTCTTTCTGTAGCATCTGGAAGTGAACATTAGGACAGCTTTCAGGTCTATGGTGAGAAAGGAAATATCTTCAAATAAAAACTAGACAGAAGCATTCTGATAAACTTGTTTGTGAAGTGTGATCTCAGCTAACAGAGGTGGATCTTTCTTTTGATAGAGCAGTTCTGAAAAACACTTTGTTGAATCTGCAAGTGGACATTTGTATAGATTTGAAGATTTCGTTGGAAACGGGAATTTCTTCATATCAAATCTAGATAGAAGCAATCTCAGAAACGTCTTTGTGATGTTTGCATTCAACTCATAGAGTTGAACATTCCGTTTCAGAGAGCAGCTTTGAAGCACTCTTTTTGTAGTATGTGCAAGCGGATATTTGGAGCGCTCTGAGGCCTACGGTGATAAAGCAAATATCTTCCCATAACCACTAGACAGAAACATTCTCAGAAACTCCTTTATGACGTATGCACTCACCTAACAGAAAAGAACCTTCCTTTTGACAGAGCAGTTTTGATACAATCTTTTTGTAGAATCTGCAAGTGGATATTTGGATAGCTGTGAAGATTTCGTTGGAAACGGGAATATCTTCCTATAAAATCTAGACAGAAGCATTCTCAGAAACTGCTCTGTGATGTCTGCATTCAAGTCACAGAGTTGAACATTGCCTTTCATAGAGCAGGTTTGAAACGCTCTTTTTGTAGTATATGGAAGTGGACTTTTCGGACGGTTTGAGGCCCATGGTGATAAAGGGAATATCTTCCCCTACAAGCTAGAAAGAAGCATTCTGTGAAACTTGTTTGTGATGTGTGTACTCAACTCACAGGAGTTGAACCTTTCTTTTTACAGAGCAGTTTTGAAACACTCTTTTTGTAGAATCTGCGAGGGCATATTTGGATAGATTTCAGGATTTCGTTGGAAAGGGGAATATCTTCATATAAAATCTCGACAGAAGCATTCTCAGAAACTTCTCTGTGATATGTGCATTGAAGTCACCGAGTTAAATATTCCCTTCCACACAGTAGGTTTGAAACACTCTTTTTTTGTAGTATCTGGAAGTGGAAATTTGGAGCGCTTTGATGCCTATGGTGAAAAAGGAAATATCTTCCAATAAAAACTAGTCAGAAGCAATCTCAGAATCTTCTTTGGGATATATGCACGCAGCTAACAGAGTTGAACCTTTCTATTGACAGAGCAGTTTAGAAACAGTCCTTCTGTGGAATCTGCAAGTGGATATTTGGATAGCTTGGAGGATTTCTTTGGAAACCGGGATTACGTATAAAAAGTAGACAGCAGCATCCTCAGAAACTTCTTTGTGATGTGTGCATTCAAGTCACAGAGTTGAGCATTCCCTTTCGTACAGCAGTTTTGAAACACTCTTTCTGTAGTATCTGGAAGTGAACATTAGGACAGCTTTCAGCTCTATGGTGAGAAAGGAAATATCTTCAAATAAAAACTAGACAGAAGCATTCTCATAAACTTGTTTGTGATGTGTGAACTCAGCTAAGAGAGGTGGATCTTTCTTTTGATAGAGCAGTTCTGAAAAACACTTTTTGTTGAATCCGCAAGTGGACATTTGGATAGATTTGAAGATTTCGTTGGAAACGGGAATATCTTCATATCAAACCTAGACAGAAGCATTCTCAGAAACGTCTTTGTGATGTTTGCATTCAACTCATAGAGTTGAACATTCCCTTTCAGAGAGCAGCTTTGAAGCACTCTTTTTGTAGTATGTGCAAGGGGATATATGGAGCGCTCTGAGGCCTAAGGTGAAAAAGCAAATATCTTCCCATAACCACTAGACAGAAACATTCTCAGAAACTCCTTTATGACATATGTACTCAACTAACAGAGAAGAACCTTCCTTTTGACAGAGCAGTTTTGATACACTCTTTTTGTAGAATCTGCAAGTGGATATTTGGATAGCTGTGAAGATTTCGTTGGAAACGGGAATATCTTCCTATAAAATCTAGACAGAAGCATTCTCAGAAACTGCTCTGTGATGTCTGGATTCAAGTCACAGAGTTGAACATTGCCGTTCATAGAGCAGGTTTGAAACACTCTTTTTGTAGTATATGGAAGTGGACGTTTCGGACGGTTTGAGGCCCATGGTGATAAAGGGAATATCTTCCCATACAAGCTAGAAAGAAGCATTCTGTGAAACTTGTTTGTGATGTGTGTACTCATCTAACAGAGTTGAACCTTTCTTTTTACAGAGCAGTTTTGAAACACTCTTTTTGTAGAATCTGCGTGGGGATATTTGGATAGATTTCAGGATTTCGTTGGAAACGGGAATATCTTCATATAAAATCTCGACAGAAGCATTCTCAGAAACTTCTTTGTGATATCTGCATTCAAGTCACAGAGTTGAATATTCCCTTTCACAGAGTAGGTTTGAAACACTCTTTTTGTAGTATCTGGAAGTGGACATTTTGAGCGCCTTGACACCTACGGTGAAAAGGGAAATATCTTCCCATAAAAACTAGACAGAAGCAATCTCAGAATCTTCTTTGGGATATATGCACGCAGCTAACAGAGTTGAACCTTTCTATTGACAGAGCAGTTTTGAAACAGTCTTTCTGTGGAATCTGCAAGTGCATATTTGGATAGCTTGGAGGATTTCGTTGTAAACGGGATTACGTATAAAAATTAGACAGCAGCATCCTCAGAAACTTCTTTGTGATGTGTGCATTCAAGTCACAGAGTTGAACATTCCCTTTCGTACAACAGTTTTGAAACACTCTTTCTGTAGCATCTGGAAGTGAACATTTGGACAGCTTTCAGGTCTATGGTGAGAAAGGAAATATCTTCAAATAAAAACTAGACAGAAGCATTCTCATAAACTTGTTTGTGATGTGTAAACTCAGCTAACAGAGGTGGATCTTTCTTTTGATAGAGCAGTTCTGAAAAACACTTTTTGTTGAATCTGCAAGTGGACATTTGGATAGATTTGAAGATTTCGTTGGAAACGGGAATATCTTCATATCAAATCTAGACAGAAGCATTCTCAGAAACGTCTTTGTGATGTTTGCATTCAACTCATAGAGTTGAACGTTCCGTTTCAGAGACCAGCTTTGAAGCACTCTTTTTGTAGTATGTGCAAGTGGATATTTGGAGCGCTCTGAGGCCTACGGTGAAAAAGCAAATATCTTCCCATAACCACTAGACAGAAACATTCTCAGAAACTCCTTTATGACGTATATACTCAACTAACAGAGAAGAACCTTCCTTTTGACAGAGCAGTTTTGATACACTCTTTTTGTAGAATCTGCAAGTGGATATTTGGATAGCTGTGAAGATTTCGTTGGAAACGGGAATATCTTCCTATAAAATCTAGACAGAAGTATTCTCAGAAACAGCTCTGTGATGTCTGCATTCAAGTCACAGAGTTGAACATTGCCTTTCATAGAGCAGGTTTGAAACGCTCTTTTTGTAGTATATGTAACTGGAGGTTTCGGACGGTTTGAGGCCCATGGTGATAAAGGGAATATCTTCCCCTACAAGCTAGAAAGAAGCATTCTGTGAAACTTGTTTGTGATGTGTGTACTCAACTAACAGTGTTGAACCTTTCTTTTTACAGAGTAGTTTTGAAACACTATTTTTGTAGAATCTGCGAGGGGATATTTGGATAGATTTCAGGATTTCGTTGGAAACGGGAATATCTTCATATAAAATCTCGACAGAAGCATTCTCAGAAACTTCTTTGTGATATCTGCATTCAAGTCACAGAGTTGAATATTCCCTTTCACAGAGTAGGTTTGAAACACTCTTTTTATAGTATCTGGAAGTGGACATTTGGAGCGCCTTGACACCTACGGTGAAAAGGGAAATATCTTCCCATAAAAACTAGACAGAAGCAATCTCAGAATCTTCTTTGGGATATATGCACGCAGCTAACAGAGTTGAACCTTTCTATTGACACAGCAGTTTAGAAACAGTCTTTCTGTGGAATCTGCAAGTGGATATTGGGATAGCTTGGAGGATTTCGTTGGAAACGGGATTACGTATAAAAAGTAGACAGCAGCATCCTCAGAAACTTCTTTGGGATGTGTGCATTCAAGTCACAGAGTTGAACATTCCCTTTCGTACAGCAGTTTTGAAACACTCTTTCTGTAGTATCTGGAAGTGAACATTAGGACAGCTTTCAGGTCTATGGTGAGAAAGGAAATATCTTCAAATAAAAACTAGACAGAAGCATTCTCATAAACTTGTTTGTGATGTGTGAACTCAGCTAACAGAGGTGGATCTTTCTTTTGATAGAGCAGTTCTGAAAAACACTTTTTGTTGAATCTGCAAGTGGACATTCGGATAGATTTGAAGATTTCATTGGAAACGGGAATATCTTCATATCAAATCTAGACAGAAGCATTCTCAGAAACGTCTTTGTGATGTTTGCATTCAACTCATAGAGTTGAACATTCCCTTTCAGAGAGCAGCTTTGAAGCACTCTTTTTGTAGTATGTGCAAGGGGATATTTGGAGCGCTCTGAGGCCTAAGGTGAAAAAGCAAATATCTTCCCATAACCACTAGACAGAAACATTCTCAGAAACTCCTTTATGACGTACGCACTCACCTAACAGAGAAGAACCTTCCTTTTGACAGAGCAGTTTTGATACACTCTTTTTGTAGAATCTGCAAGTGGATATTTGGATAGCTGTGAAGATTTCATTGGAAACGGGAATATCTTCCTATAAAATCTAGACAGAAGCATTCTCAGAAACTGCTCTGTGATGTCTGCATTCAAGTCACAGAGTTGAACATTGCCTTTCATAGAGCAGGTTTGAAACGCTCTTTTTGTAGTATATGGAAGTGGACGTTTCGGACGGTTTAAGGCCCATGGTGATAAAGGGAATATCTTCCCCTACTAGCTAGAAAGAAGCATTCTGTGAAACTTGTTTCTGATGTGTGTACTCAACTAACAGAGTTGAACCTTTCTTTTCACAGAGCAGTTTTGAAACACTCTTTTTGTAGAATCTGCGAGCGGATATTTGGATAGATTTCAGGATTTCGTTGGAAACGGGAATATCTTCATATAAAATCTCGACAGAAGCATTCTCAGAAACTTCTTTGTGATATCTGCATTCAAGTCACAGAGTTGAATATTCCCTTTCACCGAGTAGGTTTGAAAAACTCTTTTTGTAGTATCTGGAAGTGGACATTTGGAGCGCCTTGACGCCTACGGTAAAAAGGGAAATATCTTCCCATAAAAACTAGACAGAAGCAATCTCAGAATCTTCTTTGGGATATATGCACGCAGCTAACAGAGTTGAACCTTTCTATTGACAGAGCAGTTTTGAAACAGTCTTTCTGTGGAATCTGCAATTGGATATTTGGATAGCTTGGAGGATTTCGTTGGAAACGGGATTACGTATAAAAAGTAGACAGCAGCATCCTCCGAAACTTCTTTGTGATGTGTGCATTCAAGTCCCAGAGTTGAACATTCCCTTTCGTACAGCAGTTTTGAAACACTCTTTCTGTAGTATCTGGAAGTGAACATTAGGACAGCTTTCAGCTCTATGGTGAGAAAGGAAATATCTTCAAATAAAAACTAGACAGAAGCATTCTGATAAACTTGTTTGTGATGTGTGAACTCAGCTAACAGAGGTGGATCTTTCTTTGGTACAGCAGTTTTGAAAAACACTTTGTTGAATCTGCAAGGGGACATTTGGATAGATTTGAAGATTACGTTGGAAACGGGAATATCTTCATATCAAATCTAGACAGAAGCATTCTCAGAAACGTCTTTGTGATGTTGGCATTCAACTCATAGAGTTGAACATTCCGTTTCAGAGAGCAGCTTTGAAGCACTCTTTTTGTAGTATGTGCAAGTGGATATTTGGAGCGCTCTGAGGCCTAAGGTGCAAAAGCAAATATCTTCCCGTAACCAGTAGACAGAAACATTCTCAGAAACTCCTTTATGACGTATGTACTCAACTAACAGAGAAGAATCTTCCTTTTGACAGAGCAGTTTTGATACACTCTTTTTGTAGAATCTGCAAGTGGATATTTGGATAGCTGTGAAGGTTTCGTTGGAAACGGAAATATCTTCCTATAAAATCTACACAGAAGCATTCTCAGAAACTGCTCTGTGATGTCTGTATTCAAGTCACAGAGTTGAACATTGCCTTTCATAGAGCAGGTTTGAAACGCTCTTTTTGTAGTATATGGAAGTGGATGTTTCGGACGGTTGGAGGCCCATGGTGATAAAGGGAATATCTTCCCCTACAAGCTAGAAAGAAGCATTCTGTGAAACTTGTTTGTGATGTGTGTACTCAACTAACAGAGTTGAACCTTTCTTTTCACAGAGCAGTTTTGAAACACTCTTTTTGTAGAATTTGCGAGGGGATATTTGGATAGATTTCAGGATTTCGTTGGAAACGGGAATATCTTCATACAAAATCTCGACAGAAGCATTCTCAGAAACTTCTTTGTGATATGTGCATTCAAGTCACAGAGTTGAATATTCTCTTTCACAGAGTAGGTTTGAAACACTCTTTTTGTAGTATCTGGAAGTGGACATTTGGAGTGCCTTGACACCTACGGTGAAAAGGGAAATATCTTCCCATAAAAACTAGACAGAAGCAATCTCAGAATCTTCTTTGGGATACATGCACGCAGCTAACAGAGTTGAACCTTTCTATTGACAGAGCAGTTTTGAAACAGTCTTTCTGTGGAATCTGCAAGTGGATATTTGGATAGCTTGGAGGATTTCGTTGGAAACGGGATTAAGTATAAAAAGTAGACAGCCGCATCCTCAGAAACTTCTTTGTGATGTGTGCATTCAAGTCCCAGAGTTGAACATTCCCTTTCGTACAGCAGTTTTGAAACACTCTTTCTGTAGTATCTGGAAGTGAACATTAGGACAGCTTTCAGGTCTATGGTGAGAAAGGAAATATCTTCAAATAAAAACTAGACAGAAGCATTCTCATAAACTTGTTTGTGATGTGTGAACTCAGCTAACAGAGGTGGATCTTTCTTTTGATAGAGCAGTTCTGAAAAACACTTTTTGTTGAATCTGCAAGTGGACATCTGGATAGATTTGAAGATTTCGTTGGAAACGGGAATATCTTCATATCAAATCTAGACAGAAGCATTCTCAGAAACGTCTTTGTGATGTTTGCATTCAACTCATAGAGTTGAACATTCCGTTTCAGAGAGCAGCTTTGAAGCACTCTTTTTGTAGTATGTGCAAGTGGATATTTTGAGCGCTCTGAGGCCCACGGTGAAAAAGCAAATATCTTCCCATAACCACTAGACAGAAACATTCTCAGAAACTCCTTTATGACGTATGCACTCACCTAACAGAGAAGAACCTTCCTTTTGACAGAGCAGTTTTGATACACTCTTTTTGTAGAATCTGCAAGTGGATATTTGGATAGCTGTGAAGATTTCGTTGGAAACGGGAATATCCTCCTATAATATCTAGACAGAAGCATTCTCAGAAACTGCTCTGTGATGTCTGTATTCAAGTCACAGAGTTGAACATTGCCTTTCATAGAGCAGGTTTGAAACGCTCTTTTTGTAGTATATGGAAGTGGATGTTTCGGACGGTTTGAGGCCCATGGTGATAAAGGGAATATCTTCCCCTACAAGCTAGAAAGAAGCATTCTGTGAAACTTGTTTGTGATGTGTGTACTCAAGTAACAGAGTTGAACCTTTCTTTTTACAGAGCAGTTTTGAAACACTCTTTCTGTAGAATCTGCGAGGGGATATTTGGATAGATTTCAGGATTTCGTTGGAAACGGGAATATCTTCATATAAAATCTCGACAGAAGCATTTTCAGAAACTTCTTTGTGATATGTGCATTCAAGTCACAGAGTTGAATATTCCCTTTCACAGAGTACGTTTGAAACACTCTTTTTGTTGTATCTGGAAGTGGACATTTGGAGCGCCTTGACGCCTACGGTGAAAAGGGAAATATCTTCCCATAAAAACTAGACAGAAGCAATCTCAGAATCTTCTTTGGGATATATGCACGCAGCTAACAGAGTTGAACCTTTCTATTGACAGAGCAGTATTGAAACAGTCTTTCTGTGGAATCTGCAAGTGGATATTTGGATAGCTTGGAGGATTTCGTTGGAAACGGGATTACGTATAAAAAGTAGACAGCAGCATCCTCAGAAACATCCTTGTAATGTGTGCATTCAAGTCACAGAGTTGAACATTCCCTTTCGTACAGCAGTTTTGAAACACTCTTTCTGTAGTATCTGGAAGTGAACTTTAGGACAGCTTTCAGGTCTATCGTGAGAAAGGATATATCTTCAAATAAAAACTAGACAGAAGCATTCTGATAAACTTGTTTGTGAAGTGTGAACTCAGCTAACAGAGGTGGATCTTTCTTTTGATAGAGCAATTCTGAAAAACACTTTGTTGAATCTGCAAGTGGACATTTGGATAGATTTGAAGATTTCGTTGGAAACGGGAATATCTTCATATCAAATCTAGACAGAAGCATTCTCAGAAACGTCTTTGTGATGTTGGCATTCAACTCATAGAGTTGAACATTCCGTTTCAGAGAGCAGCTTTGAAGCACTCTTTTTGTAGTATGTGCAAGGGGATATTTTGAGCGCTCTGAGGCCTAAGGTGAAAAAGCAAATATCTTCCCATAACCACTAGACAGAAACATTCTCAGAAACTCCTTTATGACGTATGCACTCACCTAACAGAGAAGAACCTTCCTTTTGACAGAGCAGTTTTGATACACTCTTTTTGTAGAATCTGCAAGTTTATATTTGGATAGCTGTGAAGATTTCGTTGGAAACGGGAATATCTTCCTATAAAATCTAGACAGAAGCATTCTCAGAAACTGCTCTGTGATGTCTGCATTCAAGTCACAGAGTTGAACATTGTCTTTCATAGAGCAGGTTTGAAGCGCTCTTTTTGTAGTATATGGAAGTGGACGTTTCGGACGGTTTGAGGCCCATGGTGATAAAGGGAATATCTTCCCCTACAAGCTAGAAAGAAGCATTCTGTGAAACTTGTTTGTGATGTGTGTACTCAACTAACAGAGTTGAACCTTTCTTTTTACAGAGCAGTTTTGAAACACTCTTTTTGTAGAATCTGCGAGGGGATATTTGGATAGATTTCAGGATTTCGTTGGAAACGGGAAGATCTTCATATAAAATCTCGACAGAAGCATTCTCAGAAACTTCCTTGTGATATGTGCATTCAAGTCACAGAGTTGAATATTCCCTTTCACAGAGTAGGTTTGAAACACTCTTTTTGTAGTATCTGGAAGTGGTCATTTGGAGCGCCTTGACGCCCACGGTGAAAAGGGAAATATCTTCCCATAAAACTAGACAGAAGCAATCTCAGAATCTTCTTTGGGATATATGCATGCAGCTAACAGAGTTGAACCTTTCTATTGACAGAGCAGTTTTGAAACAGTCTTACTGTGGAATCTGCAAGTGGATATTTGGATAGCTTGGAGGATATCTTTGGAAACGGGATTACGTATAAAAAGTAGACAGCAGCATCCTCAGAAACTTCTTTGTGATGTGTGCATTCAAGTCACAGAGTTGAACATTCCCTTTCGTACAGCAGTTTTGAAACACTCTTTCTGTAGTATCTGGAAGTGAACATTAGGACAGCTTTCAGGTCTATGGTGAGAAAGGAAATATCTTCAAATAAAAACTTGAGAGAAGCATTCTCATAAATTTGTTTGTGATGTGTGAACTCAGCTAACAGAGGTGGATCTTTCTTTTGATAGAGCAGTTCTGAAAAACACTTTTTGTTGAATCTGCAAGTGGACATTTGGATAGATTTGAAGATTTCGTTGGAAACGGGAATATCTTCATATCAAATGCTAGACAGAAGCATTCTCAGAAACGTCTTTGCGATGTTTGCATTCAACTCATAGAGTTGAACATTCCGTTTCAGAGAGCAGCTTTGAGGCACTCTTTTTGTAGTATGTGCAAGTGGATATTTGGAGCGCTCTGAGGCCTACGGTGAAAAAGCAAATATCCTTCCCATAACCACTAGACAGAAACATTCTCAGAAACTCCTTTATGACGTATGCACTCACCTAACAGAGAAGAACCTTCCTTTTGACTGAGCACTTTTGATACACTCTTTTTGCAGAATCTGCAAGTGGATATTTGGATAGCTGTGAAGATTTCGTTGGAAACGGGAATATCTTCCTATAAAATCTAGACAGAAGCATTCTCAGAAACTGCTCTGTGATGTCTGCATTCAAGTCACAGAGTTGAACATTGCCTTTCCTAGAGCAGGTTTGAAACGCTCTTTTTGTAGTATATGGAACTGGATGTTTCGGACGGTTTGAGGCCCATGGTGATAAAGGGAATATCTTCCCCTACAAGCTAGAAAGAAGCATTCTGTGAAACTTGTTTGTGATGTGCGTACTCAACTAACAGAGTTGAACCTTTCTTTTTACAGAGCAGTTTTGAAACACTCTTTTTGTAGAATCTGCGAGGGGATATTTGGATACATTTCAGGATTTCGTTGGAAACGGGAATATCTTCATATAAAATCTCGACAGAAGCATTCTCAGAAGCTTCTTTGTGATATGTGCATTCAAGTCACAGAGTTGAATATTCCCTTTCACAGAGTAGGTTTGAAACACTCTTTTTGTAGTATCTGGAAGTGGACATTTGGAGCGCCTTGACGCCTACGTTGAAAAGGGAAATATCTTCTCATAAAAAGTAGACAGAAGCAATCTCAGAATCTTCTTTAGGATATATGCACGCAGCTAACAGAGTTGAACCTTTCTATTGACAGAGCAGTTTTGAAACAGTCTTTCTGTGGAATCTGCAAGTGGATATTTGGATAGCTTGGAGGATTTCGTTGGAAACGGGATTAAGTATAAAAAGTAGACAGCAGCATACTCAGAAACTTCTTTGTGATGTGTGCATTCAAGTCACAGAGTTGAACATTCCCTTTCGTACAGCAGTTTTGAAACACTCTTTCTGTAGTATCTGGAAGTGAACATTAGGACAGCTTTCAGCTCTATGGTGAGAAAGGAAATATCTTCAAATAAAAACTAGACAGAAGCATTCTCATAAACTTGTTTGTGATGTGTGAACTCAGCTAACAGAGGTGGATCTTTCTTTTGATAGAGCAGTTCTGAAAAACACTTTTTTTTGAATCTGCAAGTGGACATTTGGATAGATTTGAAGATTTCGTTGGAAACGGGAATATCTTCATATCAAATCTAGACAGAAGCATTCTCAGAAACGTCTTTGTGATGTTTGCATTCAACTCATAGAGTTGAACATTCCGTTTCAGAGAGCAGGTTTGAAACACTCTTTTTGTAGTATGTGCAAGTGGATATTTGGAGCGCTCCGAGGCCTACGGTGAAAAAGCAAATATCTTCCCATAACCACTAGACAGAAACCTTCTCAGAAACTCCTTTATGACGTATGCACTCACCTAACAGAAAAGAACCTTCCTTTTGACAGAGCAGTTTTGATACACTCTTTTTGTAGAATCTGCAAGTGGATATTTGGATAGCTGTGAAGATTTCGTTGGAAACGGGAATATCTTCCTATAAAATCTAGACAGAAGCATTCTCAGAAACTGCTCTGTGATGTCTGCATTCAAGTCACAGAGTTGAACATTGCCTTTCATAGAGCAGGTTTGAAACGCTCTTTTTGTAGTATATGGAAGTAGACGTTTCGGACGGTTTGAGACCCATGGTGATAAAGGGAATATCTTCCCCTACAAGCTAGAAAGAAGCATTGTGTGAAACTTGTTTGTGATGTGTGTACTCAACTAACAGAGTTGAACCTTTCTTTTTACAGAGCAGTTTTGAAACACTCTTTTTGTAGAATCTGCGAGGGGATATTTGGATAGATTTCAGGATTTCGTTGTAAACGAGAATATCTTCATATAAAATCTCGACAGAAGCATTCTCAGAAACTTCCTTGTGATATGTGCATTCAAGTCACAGAGTTGAATATTCCCTTTCATAGAGTAGGTTTGAAACACTCTTTTTGTAGTATCTGGAAGTGGACATTTGGAGCGCCTGGACGCCTACGGTGAAAAGGGAAATATCTTCCCATAAAAACTAGACAGAAGCAATCTCAGAATCTTCTTTGGGATATATGCACGCAGCTAACAGAGTTGAACCTTTCTATTGACAGAGCAGTTTTGAAACAGTCTTTCTGTGGAATCTGCAAGTGGATATTTGGACAGCTTGGAGGATTTCGTTGGAAACGGGATTAAGTATAAAAAGTAGACAGCAGCATCCTCAGAAACTTCTTTGTGATGTGTGCATTCAAGTCACAGAGTTGAACATTCCCTTTCGTACAGCAGTTTTGAAACACTCTTTCTGTAGTAACTGGAAGTGAACACTAGGACAGCTTTCAGGTCTATGGTGAGAAAGGAAATATCTTCAAATAAAAACTAGACAGAAGCATTCTCATAAACTTGTTTTGTGATGTGTGAACTCAGCTAACAGAGGTGGATCTTTCTTTTGATAGAGCAGTTCTGAAAAACACTTTTTGTTGAATCTGCAAGTGGACATTTGGATAGATTTGAAGATTTCGTTGGAAACGGGAATATCTTCATATCAAATCTAGACAGAAGCATTCTCAGAAACGTCTTTGCGATGTTTGCATTCAACTCATAGAGTTGAACATTCCGTTTCAGAGAGCAGCTTTGAGGCACTCTTTTTGTAGTATGTGCAAGTGGATATTTGGAGCGCCCTGAGGCCTACGGTGAAAAAGCAAATATCTTCCCATAACCACTAGACAGAAACATTCTCAGAAACTCCTTTATGACCTATGCACTCACCTATAAGAGAAGAACCTTCCTTTTGACAGAGCAGTTTTGATACACTCTTTTTGTAGAATCTGCAAGTGGATATTTGGATAGCTGTGAAGATTTCGTTGGAAACGGGAATATCTTCCTATAAAATCTAGACAGAAGCATTCTCAGAAACTGCTCTGTGATATCTGCATTCAAGTCACAGAGTTGAACATTGCTTTTCATAGAGCAGGTTTGAAACGCTCTTTTTGTAGTATATGGAAGTAGACGTTTCGGACGGTTTGAGGCCCATGGTGATAAAGGGAATATCTTCCCCTACAAGCTAGAAAGAAGCATTCTGTGAAACTTGTTTGTGATGTGTGTACTCAACTAACAGAGTTGAACTTTTCTTTTCACAGAGCAGTTTTGAAACACTCTTTTTGTAGAATCTGCGAGGGGATATTTGGATAGATTTCAGGATTTCGTTGGAAACGGGAATATCTTCATATAAAATCTCGACAGAAGCATTGTCAGAAACTTCTTTGTGATATGTGCATTCAAGTCACAGAGTTGAATATTCCCTTTCACAGAGTAGGTTTGAAACACTCTTTTTGTAGTATCTGGAATTGGACATTTGGAGCGCCTTGACACCTACGGTGAAAAGGGAAATATCTTCCCATAAAAACTAGACAGAAGCAATCTCAGAATCTTCTTTGGGATATATGCACGCAGCTAACAGAGTTGAACATTTCTATTTACAGAGCAGTTTTGAAACAGTCGTTCTGTGGAATCTGCAAGTGGATATTTCGATAGCTTGGAGGATTTCGTTGGAAACGGGATTACGTATCAAAAGTACACAGCAGCATCCTCAGAAACTTCTTTGTGATGTGTGCATTCAAGTCACAGAGTTGAACATTCCCTTTCGTACAGCAGTTTTGAAACACTCTTTCTGTAGTATCTGGAAGTGAACATTAGGACAGCTTTCAGCTCTATGGTGAGAAAGGAAATATCTTCAAATCAAAACTAGACAGAAGCACTCTCATAAACTTGTTTGTGATGTGTGAACTCAGCTAACAGAGGTGGATCTTTCTTTTGATAGAGCAGTTCTGAAAAACACTTTTTGTTGAATCTGCAAGAGGACATTTGGATAGATTTGAAGATTTCGTTGGAAACGGGAATATCTTCATATCAAATCTAGACAGAAGCATTCTCAGAAACGTCTTTGCGATGTTTGCATTCAACTCATAGAGTTGAACATTCCGTTTCAGAGAGCAGCTTTGAAGCACTCTTTTTGTAGCATGTGCAAGTGGATATTTGGAGCGCCCTGAGGCCTACGGGGAAAAAGCAAATATCTTCCCATAACCACTAGACAGAAAACATTCTCAGAAACTCCTTTATGACGTATGTACTCAACTAACAGAGAAGAACCTTCTTTTTGACTGAGCAGTTTTGATACACTCTTTTTGTAGAATCTGCAAGTGCATATTTGGATAGCTGTGAAGATTTCGTTGGAAACGGGAATATCTTCCTATAAAATCTAGACAGAAGCATTCTCAGAAACTGATCTGTGATGTCTGCATTCAAGTCACAGAGTTGAACATTGCCTTTCATAGAGCAGGTTTGAAACGCTCTTTTTGTAGTATATGGAAGTAGACGTTTCGGACGGTTTGAGGCCCATGGTGATAAAGGGAATATCTTCCCCTGCAAGCTAGAAAGAAGCATTCTGTGAAACTTGTTTGTGATGTGTGTACTCAACTAACAGAGTTGAACCTTTCCTTTTACAGAGCAGTTTTGAAACACTCTTTTTGTAGAATCTGCGAGGGGATATTTGGATAGATTTCAGGATTTCGTTGGAAACGGGAGTATCTTCATATAAAATCTCGACAGAAGCATTTTCAGAAACTTCTTTGTGATATGTGCATTCAAGTCACAGAGTTGAATATTCCCTTTCACAGAGTAGGTTTGAAACACTCTTTTTGTAGTATCTGGAAGTGGACATTTGGAGCGCCTTGACGCCTACGGTGAAAAGGGAAATATCTTCCCATAAAAACTAGACAGAAGCAATCTCAGAATCTTTTTTGGGATATATGCACGCAGCTAACAGAGTTGAACCTTTCTATTGACAGAGCAGTTTTGAAACAGTCTTTCTGTGGAATCTGCAAGTGGATATTTGGATAGCTTGGAGGATTTCGTTGGAAACGGGATTACGTATAAAAAGTAGACAGCAGCATCCTCAGCAAACTTCTTTGTGATGTGTGCATTCAAGTCACAGAGTTGAACATTCCCTTTCGTACAGCAGTTTTGAAACACTCTTTCTGTAGTATCTGGAAGTGAACATTAGGACAGCTTTCAGGTCTATGGTGAGAAAGGAAATATCTTCAAATAAAAACTAGACAGAAGCATTCTGATAAACTTGTTTGTGAAGTGTGATCTCAGCTAACAGAGGTGGATCTTTCTTTTGATAGAGCAGTTCTGAAAAACACTTTTTGTTGAATCTGCAAGTGGATATTTGGATAGATTTGAAGATTTCGTTGGAAACGGGAATATCTTCATATTAAATCTAGACAGAAGCATTCTCAGAAACGTCTTTGTGATGTTAGCATTCAACTCATAGAGTTGAACATTCCCTTTCAGAGAGCAGCTTTGAAGCACTCTTTTTGTAGTATGTGCAAGTGGACATTTGGAGCGCTTTGAGGCCTACGGGGAAAAAGCAAATATCTTCCCATAACCACTAGACAGGAACATTCTCAGAAACTCCTTTATGACGTATGCACTCACCTAACAGAGAAGAACCTTCCTTTTGACAGAGCAGTTTTGAGATACTCTTTTTGTAGAATCTGCAAGTGGATATTGGGATAGCTGTGAAGATTTCGTTGGAAACGGGAATATCTTCCTATAAAATCTAGACAGAAGCATTCTCAGAAACTGCTCTGTGATGTCTGCATTCAAGTCATAGAGTTGAACATTGCCTTTCATAGAGCAGGTTTGAAACGCTCTTTTTGTAGTATATGGAAGTGGACGTTTCGGACGGTTTGAGGCCCATGGTGATAAAGGGAATATCTTCCCCTACAAGCTAGAAAGAAGCATTGTGTGAAACTTATTTGTGATGTGTGTACTCAACTAACAGAGTTGAACCTTTCTTTTTACAGAGCAGTTTTGAAACACTCTTTTTGTAGAATCTGCGAGGGGATATTTGGATAGATTTCAGCATTTCGTTGGAAACGGGAATATCTTCATATAAAATACTCGACAGAAGCATTCTCAGAAACTTCCTTGTGATATGTGCATTCAAGTCACAGAGTTGAATATTCCCTTTCACAGAGTAGGTTTGAAACAGTCTTTTTGTAGTATCTGGAAGTGGACATTTGGAGCGCCTTGATGCCTACGGTGAAAAGGGAAATATCTTCCCATAAAAACTAGACAGAAGCAATCTCAGAATCTTCTTTGGGATATATGCACGCAGCTAACAGAGTTGAACCTTTCTATTGACAGAGCAGTTTTGAAACAGTCTTTCTGGGGAATCTGCAAGTGGATATTTGGATAGCTTGGAGGATTTCGTTGGAAACAGGATTACGTATAAAAAGTAGACAGCAGCATCCTCAGGAAACTTCTTTGTGATGTGTGCATTCAAGTGACAGAGTTGAACATTCCCTTTCGTACAGCAGTTTTGAAACACTCTTTCTGTAGTATCTGGAAGTGAACATTAGGACAGCTTTCAGCTCTATGGTGAGAAAGGAAATATCTTCAAATAAAAACTAGACAGAAGTATTCTCATAAACTTGTTTGTGATGTGTGAACTCAGCTAACAGAGGTGGACCTTTCTTTTGATAGAGCAGTTCTGAAAAACACTTTTTGTTGAATCTGCAAGTGGACATTTGGATAGATTTGAAGATTTCGTTGGAAACGGGAATATCTTCATATCAAATCTAGACAGAAGCATTCTCGGAAACGTCTTTGTCATGTTTGCATTCAACTCATAGAGTTGAACATTCCCTTTCAGAGAGCAGCTTTGAAGCACTCTTTTTGTAGTATGTGCAAGGGGATATTTGGAGTGCTCTGAGGCCTACGGTGAAAAAGCAAATATCTTCCCATAAACACTAGACAGAAACATTCTCAGAAACTCCTTTATGACGTATGCACTCACCTAACAGAGAAGAACCTTCCTTTTGACAGAGCAGTTTTGATACACTCTTTTTGTAGAATCTGCAAGTGGATATTTGGATACCTGTGAAGATTTCGATGTAAACGGGAATATCTTCCTATAAAATCTAGACAGAAGCATTCTCAGAAACTGCTCTGTGATGTCTGCTTTCAAGTCACAGAGTTGAACATTGCCTTTCATAGAGCAGGTTTGAAACGCTCTTTTTGTAGTATATGGAAGTGGACTTTTCGGACGGTTTGAGGCCCATGGTGATAAAGGGAATATCTTCCCCTACAAGCTAGAAAGAAGCATTCTGTGAAACTTGTTTGTGATGTGTGTACTCAACTAACAGAGTTGAACCTTTCTTTTTACAGAGCAGTTTTGAAACACTCTTTTTGTAGAATCTGCGAGGGGATATTTGGATAGATTTCAGGATTTCGTTGGAAACGGGAATATCTTCATATAAAATCGCGACAGAAGCATTCTTAGAAACTTTTTGTGATACCTACATTCAAATCAAAGAGTTGAATATTCCCTTTCACACAGTAGGTTTGAAACACTCTTTTTGTAGTATCTGGAAGTGGACATTTGGAGCGCCTTGACGCCTACGGTGAAAAAGGAAATATGTTCCCATAAAAACTAGACAGCAGCAATCTCAGAATCTTCTTTGGGATATATGTACGCAGCTAACAGAGTTGAACTTTTCTATTGACAGAGCAGTTTTGAAACAGTCTTTCTGTTAAATCTGCAAGTGGATATTTGGATAGCTTGGAGGATTTCGTTGGAAACGGGATTACATATAAAAAGTAGACAGCAGCATCCTCAGAAACTTCTTTGTGATGTGTGCATTCAAGTCACACAGTTGAACATTCCCTTTCGTACAGCAGTTTTGAAACACTCTTTCTGTAGTATCTGGAAGTGAACATTAGGACAGCTTTCAGCTCTATGGTGAGAAAGGAAATATCTTCAAATAAAAACTAGACAGAAGCATTCTCATAAACTTGTTTGTGATGTGTGAACTCAGCTAACAGAGGTGGATCTTTCTTTTGATAGAGCAGTTCTGAAAAACACTTTTTGTTGAATATGCAAGTGGACATTTGGATAGATTTGAAGATTTCGTTGGAAACGGGAATATCTTCATATCAAATCTAGACAGAAGCATTCCCAGAAACGTCTTTGTGATGTCTGCATTCAACTCATAGAGTTGAACATTCCCTTTCAGAGAGCAGCTTTGAAGCACTCTTTTTGTAGTATGTGCAAGGGGATAATTGGAGTGCTCTGAGGCCTAGGGTGAAAAAGCAAACATCTTCCCATAACCACTAGACAGAAACATTCTCAGAAACTCCTTTATGACGTATGCACTCACCTAACAGAGAAGAACCTTCCTTTTGACAGAGCAGTTTTGATACACTCTTTTTGTAGAATCTGCAAGTGGATATTTGGATAGCTGTGAAGATTTCGTTGGAAACGGGAATATCTTCCTATAAAATCTAGACAGAAGCATTCTCAGAAACTGCTCTGTGTTGTCTGCATTCAAGTCACAGAGTTGAACATTGCCTTTCATAGAGCAGGTTTGAAACACTCTTTTTGTAGTATATGGAAGTGGACGTTTCGGACGGTTTGAGGCCCATGGTGATTTAGGGAATATCTTCCCCTACAAGCTAGAAAGAAGCATTCTGTGAAACTAGTTTGTGATGTGTGTACTCAACTAACAGTAGTTGAACCTTTCTTTTCACAGGAGCAGTTTTGAAACACTCTTTTTGTAGAATCTGCGAGGGGATATTTGGATAGATTTCAGCATTTCGTTGGAAACGGGAATATCTTCATATAAAATCTCGACAGAAGCATTCTCCGAAACTTCCTTGTGATATGTGCATTCAAGTCACAGAGTTGAATATTCCCTTTCACAGAGTAGGTTTGAAACACTCTTTTTGTAGTATCTGGAAGTGGACATTTGGAGCGCCTTGACGCCTACGGTGAAAAGGGAAATATCTTCCCATAAAAACTAGACAGAAGCAATCTCAGAATCTTCTTTGGGATATATGCACGCAGCTAACAGACTTGAATCTTTCTGTTGACAGAGCAGATTTGAAACAGTCTTTCTGTGGAATCTGCAAGTGGATATTTGGATAGATTGGAGGATTTCGTTGGAAACGGGATTACATATAAAAAGTAGACAGCAGCATCCTCCGAAACTTCTTTGTGATGTGTGCATTCAAGTCACAGAGTTGAACATTCCCTTTCGTACAGCAGTTTTGAAACACTCTTTCTGTAGTATCTGGAAGTGAACATTAGGACAGCGTTCAGCTCTATGGTGAGAAAGGAAATATCTTCAAATAAAAACTAGACAGAAGCATTCTCATAAACTTGTTTGTGATGTGTGAACTCAGCTAACAGAGGTGGATCTTTCTTTTGATAGAGCAGTTCTGAAAAACACTTTTTGTTGAATCTGCAAGTGGACATTTGGATAGATTTGAAGATTTCGTTGGAAACGGGAATACCTTTATATCAAATCTAGACAGAAGCATTCTCAGAAACGTCTTTGTCATGTTTGCATTCAACTCATAGAGTTGAACATTCCCTTTCAGAGAGCAGCTTTGAAAGACTCTTTTTGTAGTATGTGCAAGTGGATATTTGGAGCGCTACTGAGGCCTACGGTGAAAAAGCAAATATCTTCCCATAACCACTAGACAGAAACATTCTCAGAAACTCCTTTATGACGTATGTACTCAACTAACAGAGAAGAACATTCTTTTTGACAGAGCAGTTTTGATACACTCTTTTTGTAGAATCTGCAAGTGCATATTTGGATAGCTGTGAAGATTTCGTTGGAAACGGGAATATCTTCCTATAAAATCTAGACAGAAGCATTCTCAGAAACTGCTCTGTGATGTCTGCATTCAAGTCACAGAGTTGAACATTGCCTTTCATAGAGCAGGTTTGAAACGCTCTTTTTGTAGTATATGGAAGTGGACGTTTTGGACGGTTTGAGGCCCATGGTGATAAAGGGAATATCTTCCCCTACAAGCTAGAAAGAAGCATTCTGTGAAACTTGTTTGTGATGTGTGTACTCAACTAACAGAGTTGAACCTTTCTTTTCACAGAGCAGTTTTGAAACACTCTTTTTGTAGAATCTGCGAGGGGATATTTGGATAGATTTCAGGATTTCGTTGGAAACGGGAATACCTTCATATAAAATCTCGACAGAAGCATTCTCAGAAAGTTCTTTGTGATATGTGCATTGAAGTCACAGAGTTGAATATTCCCTTTCACAGAGTAGGTTTGAAACACTCTTTTTGTAGTATCTGGAAGTGGACATTTGGAGCGCCTTGACACCTACGGTGAAAAGGGAAATATCTTCCCATAAAAACTAGACAGAAGCAATCTCAGAATCTTCTTTGGGATATATGCACGCAGCTAACAGAGTTGAACCTTTCTATTGACAGAGCAGTTTTGAAATAGTCTTTCTGTGGAATCTGCAAGTGGATATTTGGATAGCTTGGAGGATTTCGTTGGAAACGGGATTAGGTATAAAAGTAGACAGCAGCCTCCTCTGAAACTTCTTTGTGATGTGTGCATTCAAGTCACAGAGTTGAACATTCCCTTTCGTACAGCAGTTTTGAAACACTCTTTCTGTAGTATCTGGAAGTGAACATTAGGACAGCTTTCAGGTCTATGGTGAGAAAGGAAATATCTTCAAATAAAAACTAGACAGAAGCATTCTCATAAACTTGTTTGTGATGTGTGAACTCAGCTAACAGAGGTGGATCTTTCTTTTGATAGAGCAGTTCTGAAAAACACTTTTTGTTGAATCTGCAAGTGGACATTTGGATAGATTTGAAGATTTCGTTGTAAACGGGAATATCTTCATATCAAATCTAGACAGAAGCATTCCCAGAAACGTCTTTGTGATGTTTGCATTCAACTCATAGAGTTGAACATTCCGTTTCAGAGAGCAGCTTTGAAGCACTCTTTTTGTAGTATGTGCAAGTGGATATTTGGAGCGCTCTGAGGCCTACGGTGAAAAAGCAAGTATCTTCCCATAACCACTAGACAGAAACATTCTCAGAAACTCCTTTATGACGTATGTACTCAACTAACAGAGAAGAACCTTCCTTTTGACAGAGCAGTTTTGACACACTCTTTTTGTAGAATCTGCAAGTGGATATTTGGATAGCTGTGAAGATTTCGTTGGAAACGGGAATATCTTCCTATAAATTCTAGACAGAAGCATTCTCAGAAACTGCTCTGTGATGTCTGCATTCAAGTCACAGAGTTGAACATTGCCTTTCATAGAGCAGGTTTGAAACGCTCTTTTTGTAGTATATGGAAGTGGATGTTTCGGACAGTTGGAGGCCCATGGTGATAAAGGGAATATCTTCCCCTGCAAGCTAGAAAGAAGCATTCTGTGAAACTTGTTTGTGATGTGTGTACTCAACTAACAGAGTTGAACCTTTCTTTTTACACAGCAGTTTTGAAACACTCTTTTTGTAGAATCTGCGAGGGGATATTTGGATAGATTTCAGGATTTCGTTGGAAACGGGAATACCTTCATATAAAATCTCGACAGAAGCATTCTCAGAAACTTCTTTGTGATATGTGCATTCAAGTCACAGAGTTGAATATTCCCTTTCACAGAGTAGGTTTGAAACACTCTTTTTGTAGTATCTGGAAGTGGACATTTGGAGCGCCTTGACACCTACGGTGAAAAGCGAAATATCTTCCCACAAAAACTAGACAGAAGCAATCTCAGAATCTTCTTTGGGATATATGCACGCAGCTAACAGAGTTGAACCTTTCTATTGACAGAGCAGTTTTGAAACAGTCTTTCTGTGGAATCTGCAAGTGGATATTTGGAAAGCTTGGAGGATTTCGTTGGAAACGGGATTAAGTATAAAAAGTAGACAGCAGCATCCTCAGAAACTTCTTTGTGATGTGTGCATTCAAGTCACAGAGTTGAACATTCCCTTTCGTACAACAGTTTTGAAGCACTCTTTCTGTAGTATCTGGAAGTGAACATTAGGACAGCTTTCAGGTCTATGGTGAGAAAGGAAATATCTTCAAATAAAAACTAGACAGAAGCATTCTCATAAACTTGTTTATGATGTGTGAACTCAGCTAACAGAGGTGGATCTTTCTTTTGATAGAGCAGTTCTGAAAAACACTTTTTGTTGAATCTGCAAGTGGACATTTGGATAGATTTGAAGATTTCGTTGGAAACGGGAATATTTTCATATCAAATCTAGACAGAAGCATTCTCAGAAACGTCTTTGCGATGTTTGCATTCAACTCATAGAGTTGAACATTCCGTTTCAGAGAGCAGCTTTGAAGCACTCTTTTTGTAGTATGTGCAAGTGGATATTTGGAGCGCTCTGAGGCCTACGGGGAAAAAGCAAATATCTTCCCATAACCACTAGACAGAAACATTCTCAGAAACTCCTTTATGACGTATGCACTCACCTAACAGAGAAGAACCTTCCTTTTGACAGAGCAGTTTTGATACACTCTTTTTGTAGAATCTGCAAGTGGATATTTGGATAGCCGTGAAGATTTCGTTGGAAACGGGAATATCTTCCTATAAAATCTAGACAGAAGCATTCTCAGAAACTGCTCTGTGATGTCTGCATTCAAGTCACAGAGTTGAACATTGCCTTTCATAGAGCAGGTTTGAAACGCTCTTTTTGTAGTATATGGAAGTGGATGTTTCGGACGGTTGGAGGCCCATGGTGATAAGGGGAATATCTTCCCCTACAAGCTAGAAAGAAAGCATTCTGTGAAACTTGTTTGTGATGTGTGTACTCAACTAACAGAGTTGAACCTTTCTTTTTACAGAGCAGTTTTGAAACACTCTTTTTGTAGAATCTGCGAGGGGATATTTGGATAGATTTCAGGATTTCGTTGGAAACGGGAATATCTTCATATAAAATCTCGACAGAGCATTCTCTGAAACTTCTTTTTGATATGTGCATTCAAGTCACAGAGTTCAATATTCCCTTTCACAGAGTAGGTTTGAAACACTCTTTTTGTAGTATCTGAAGTGGACATTTGGAGCGCCTTGACGCCTACGGTGAAAAGGGAAATATCTTCTCATAAAAAGTAGACAGAAGCAATCTCAGAATCTTCTTTGGGATATATGCACGCAGCTAACAGAGTTGAACCTTTCTATTGACAGAGCAGTTTTGAAACAGTCTTTCTGTGGAATCTGCAAGTGGATATTTGGATAGCTTGAAGGATTTCGTTGGAAACGGGATTACGTATAAAAAGTAGACAGCAGCATCCTCAGAAACTTCTTTGTGATGTGTGCATTCAAGTCACAGAGTTGAACATTCCCTTTCGTACAGCAGTTTTGAAACACTTTCTGTAGTATCTGGAAGTGAACATTAGGACAGCTTTCAGGTCTATGGTGAGAAAGGAAATATCTTCAAATAAAAACTAGACAGAAGCATTCTGATAAACTTGTTTGTGAAGTGTGAACTCAGCTAACAGTGGTGGATCTTTCTTTTGATACAGCAGTTTTGAAAAACACTTTGTTGAATCTGCAAGTGGACATTTGGATAGATTTGAAGATTTCGTTGGAAACGGGAATATCTTCATATCAAATCTAGACAGAAGCATTCTCGGAAACGTCTTTGTGATGTTTGCATTCAACTCATAGAGTTGAACATTCCGTTTCAGAGAGCAGCTTTGAGGCACTCATTTTGTAGTATGTGCAAGTTGATATTTGGAGCGCTCTGAGGCCTTCGGTGAAAAAGCAAATATCTTCCCATAACCACTAGACAGAAACGTTCTCAGAAACTCCTTTATGACGTATGCACTCACCTAACAGAGAAGAACCTTCCTTTTGACAGAGCAGTTTTGATACACTCTTTTTGTAGAATCTGCAAGTGGATATTGGGATAGCTGTGAAGATTTCGTTGGAAACGGGAATATCTTCCTATAAAATCTAGACAGAAGCATTCTCAGAAACTGCTATGTGATGTCTGCATTCAAGTCACAGAGTTGAACATTGCCTTTCCTAGAGCAGGTTTGAAACGCTCTTTTTGTAGTATATGGAAGTGGAAGTTTCGGACGGTTTGAGGCACATGGTGATAAAGGGAATATCTTCCCCTACAAGCTAGAAAGAAGCATTCTGTGAAACTTTTTTGTGATGTGTGTACTCAACTAACAGAGTTGAACCATTCTTTTTACAGAGCAGTTTTGAAACACTCTTTTTGTAGAATCTGCGTGGGGATATTTGGATAGATTTCAGGATTTCGTTGGAAACGGGATTATCTTCATATAAAATCTCGACAGAAGCATTCTCAGAAACTTCTTTGTGATATGTGTATTCAAGTCACAGAGTTGAATACTCCCTTTCACAGAGTAGGTTTGAAACACTCTTTTTGTAGTATCTGGAAGTGGACATTTGGAGCGCCTTGACGCCTACGGTGAAAAGGGAAATATCTTCCCATAAAAACTAGACAGAAGTAATCTCAGAATCTTCTTTGGGATATATGCACGCAGCTAACAGAGTTGAATCTTTCTATTGACAGAGCAGTTTTGAAACAGTCTTTCTGTGGAATCTGCAAGTGGATATTTGGATAGCTTGGAGGATTTCGTTGGAAACGGGATTACGTATAAAAAGTAGACAGCAGCATCCTCAGAAACTTCTTTGTGATGTGTGCATTCAACTCACAGAGTTGAACATTCCCTTTCGTACAGCAGTTTTGAAACACTCTTTCTGTAGTAACTGGAAGTGAACATTAGGACAGCTTTCAGGTCTATGGTGAGAAAGGAAATATCTTCAAATAAAAACTAGACAGAAGCATTTTCATAAACTTGTTTGTGATGTGTGAACTCAGCTAACAGAGGTGGATCTTTCTTTTGATAGAGCAGTTCTGAAAAACACTTTTTGTTGAATCTGCAAGTGGACATTTGGATAGATTTGAAGATTTCGTTGGAAACGGGAATAACTTCATATCAAATCTAGACAGAAGCATTCTCAGAAACGTCTTTGTGATGTTTGCATTCAACTCATAGAGTTGAACATTCACTTTCAGAGAGCAGCTTTGAAGCACTCTTTTTGTAGTATGTGCAAGTGGATGTTTTGATCGCTCTGTGGCCTACGGTGAAAAAGCAAATATCTTCCCATAACCACTAGACAGAAACATTCTCAGAAACTCCTTTATGACGTATGCACTCACCTAACAGAGAAGAACCTTCCTTTTGACAGAGCAGTTTTGATACACTCTTTTTGTAGAATCTGCAAGTGGATATTTGGATAGCTGTGAAGATTTCGTTGGAACGGGAATATCTTCCTATAAAATCTAGACAGAAGCATTCTCAGAAACTGCTCTGTGATGTCTGCATTCAAGTCACAGAGTTGAACATTGCCTTTCATAGAGCAGGTTTGAAATGCTCTTTTTGCAGTATATGGAAGTGGACGTTTCAGACGGTTTGAGGCCCATGGTGATAAAGGGAATATCTTCCCCTACAAGCTAGAAAGAAGCATTCTGTGAAACTTGTTTGTGATGTGTGTACTCAACTAACAGAGTTGAACCTTTCTTTTTACAGAGCACTTTTGAAACACTCTTTTTGTAGAATCTGCGAGGGGATATTTGGATAGATTTCAGGATTTGGTTGGAAACTGGAATATCTTCATATAAAATCTCGACAGAAGCATTCTCAGAAACTTCTTTGTGATATCTGCCTTTAAGTCACAGAGTTGAATATTCCCTTTCACAGAGTAGGTTTGAAACACTCTTTTTGTAGTATCTGGAAGTGAACATTTGGAGCGCCTTGACACCTACGGTGAAAAGGGAAATATCTTCCCATAAAAACTAGACAGAAGCAATCTCAGAATCTTCTTTGGGATATATGCACGCAGCTAACAGAGTTGAACCTTTCTATTGACAGAGCAGTTTTGAAACAGTCTTTCTATGGATTCTGCAAGTGGATATTTGGATAGCTTGGAGGATTTCGTTGGAAACGGGATTACGTATAATAAGTAGACAGCAGCATCCTCAGAAACTTCTTTCTGATGTGTGCATTCAAGTCACAGAGTTGAACATTCCCTTTCGTACAGCAGTTTTGAAACACTCTTTCTGTAGTATCTGGAAGTGAACATTAGGACAGCTTTCAGGTCTATGGTGAGAAAGGAAATATCTTCAAATAAAAATTAGACAGAAGCATTCTCAAAAACATGTTTGCGATGTCTGAACTCAGCTAACAGAGGTGGATCTTTCTTTTGATAGAGCAGTTCTGAAAAACACTTTTTGTTGAATCTGCAAGTGGACATTTGGATAGATTTGAAGATTTCGTTGGAAACGGGAATATCTTCATATCAAATCTAGACAGAAGCATTCTCAGAAACGTCTTTGCGATGTTTGCATTCAACTCATAGAGTTGAACATTCCCTTTGAGAGAGCAGCTTTGAAGCACTCTTTTTGTAGCATGTGCAAGTGGACATTTGGAGCGCCCTGAGGCCTACGGGGAAAAAGCAAATATCTTCCCATAACCACTAGACAGAAACATTCTCAGAAACTCCTTTATGACGTATGCACTCACCTAACAGAGAAGAACCTTCCTTTTGAGAGAGCAGTTTTGATACACTCTTTTTGTAGAATCTGCAAGTGGATATTTGGATAGCTGTGAAGATTTCGTTGGAAACGGGAATATCTTCCTATAAAATCTAGACAGAAGCATTCTCAGAAACTGCTCTGTGATGTCTGCATTCAAGTCACAGAGTTGAACATTGCCTTTCCTGGAGCAGGTTTGAAACGCTCTTTTTGTAGTATATGGAAGTGGACGTTTCGGACGGTTTGAGGCCCATGGTGATAAAGGGAATATCTTCCCCTACAAGCTAGAAAGAAGCATTCTGTGAAACTTGTTTGTGATGTGTGTACTCAACTAACAGAGTTGAACCTTTCTTTTTAAAGAGCAGTTTTGAAACACTCTTTTTGTAGAATCTGCGAGGGGATATTTGGAGAGATTTCAGGATTTCGTTGGAAACGGGAATATCTTCATATAAAATCTCGACAGAAGCATTCTCAGAAACTTCATTGTGATATCTGCATTCAAGTCACAGAGCGGAATATTCCCTTTCAGAGAGTAGGTTTGAAACACTCTTTTTGTAGTATCTGGAAGTGGACATTTGGAGCGCCTTGACACCTACGGTGAAAAGGGAAATATCTTCCCATGAAAACTAGACAGAAGCAATCTCAGAATTTTCTTTGGGATATATGCACACAGCTAACAGAGTTGAACTTTTCTATTGAAATAGCAGTTTTGAAACAGTCTTTCTGTGGAATCTGCAAGTGGATATTTGGATAGCTTGGAGGATTTCGTTGGAAACGGGATTACGTATAAAAAGTAGACAACAGCATCCTCAGAAACATCCTTGTGATGTGTGCATTCAAGTCACAGAGTTGAACATTCCCTTTCGTACAGCAGTTTTGAAACACTCTTTCTGTAGTATCTGGAAGTGAACTTTAGGACAGCTTTCAGGTCTATAGTGAGAAAGGATATATCTTCAAATAAAAACTAGACAGAAGCATTCTCATAAACTTGTTCGTGATGTGTGAACTCAGCTAAGAGCCGTGGATCTTTCTTTTGATAGAGCAGTTCTGAAAAACACTTTTTGTTGAATCTGCAAGTGGACATTTGGATAGATTTGAAGATTTCTTTGGAAACGGGAATATCTTCATATCAAATCTAGACAGAAGCATTCTCAGAAACGTCTTTGTGATGTTTGCATTCAACTCATAGAGTTGAACATTCCCTTTCAGAGAGCAGTTTTGAAGCACTCTTTTTGTAGTAAGTGCAAATTGACATTTGGAGCGCTTTGAGGCCTAAGGGGAAAAAGCAAATATCTTCCCATAACCACTAGACAGAAACATTCTCAGAAACTCCTTTATGACGTATGCACTCACCTAACAGAGAAGAACCTTCCATTTGACAGAGCAGTTTTGATACACTCTTTTTGTAGAATCTGCAAGTGGATATTTGGATAGCTGTGAAGATTTCGTTGGAAACGGGAATATCTTCCTATAAAATCTAGACAGAAGCATTCTCAGAAACTGCTCTGTGATGTCTGCATTCAAGTCACAGAGTTGAACATTGCTTTTCCAAGAACAGGTTTGAAACGCTCTTTTTGTAGTATATGGAAGTGGACGTTTCGGACGGTTTGAGGCCCATGGTGATAAAGTGAATATCTTCCCCTACAAGCTAGAAAGAAAGCATTCTGTGAAACTTATTTGTGATGTGTGTACTCAACTAACAGAGTTGAACCTTTCTTTTTACAGAGCAGTTTTGAAACACTCTTTTTGTAGAATCTGCGAGGGGATATTTGGATAGATTTCAGGATTTCTTTGGAAACGGGAATATCTTCATATAAAATCTCGACAGAAGCATTCTCAGAAACTTCTTTGTGATATGTGCATTCAAGTCACAGAGTTGAATATTCCCTTTCACCGAGTAGGTTTGAAACACTCTTTTTGTAGTATCTGGAAGTGGACATTTGGAGCGCCTTGACGCCTACGGTGAAAAGGGAAATATCTTCCCATAAAAACTAGACAGAAGCAATCTCAGAATCTTCTTTGGGATATATGCACGAAGCTAACAGAGTTGAACCTTTCTATTGACAGAGCAGTTTTGAAACAGTCTTTCTGTGGAATCTGCAAGTGGATATTTGGATAGCTTGGAGGATTTCAATGGAAACGGGATTACGTATAAAAAGTAGACAGCAGCATCCTCAGAAACTTCTTTGTGATGTGTGCATTCAAGTCACAGAGTTGAACATTCCCTTTCGTACAGCAGTTTTGAAACACTCTTTCTGTAGCATCTGGAAGTGAACATTAGGACAGCTTTCAGGTCTATGGTGAGAAAGGAAATATCTTCAAATAAAAACTAGACAGACAAGCATTCTCATAAACTTGTTTGTGATGTGTGAACTCAGCTAACAGACGTGGATCTTTCTTTTGATACAGCAGTTTTGAAAAACACTTTTTGTTGAATCTGCAAGTGGACATTTGGATAGATTTGAAGATTTCGTTGGAAACGGGAATATCTTCATATCAAATCTAGACAGAAGCATTCTCAGAAACGTCTTTGTGATGTTTGCATTCAACTCATAGAGTTGAACATTCCGTTTCAGAGAGCAGCTTTGAAGCACTCTTTTTGTAGTATGTGCAAGTGGATATTTGGATCGCTCTGAGGCCTACGGTGAAAAAGCAAATATCTTCCCGTAACCACTAAACAGAAACATTCTCAGAAACTCCTTTATGACGTATGTACGCAACTAACAGAGAAGAACCTTCTTTTTGACAGAGCAGTTTTGATACACTCTTTTTGTAGAATCTCCAAGTGGATATTTGGATAGCTGTGAAGATTTCGTTGGAAACGGGAATATCTTCCTATAAAATCTAGACAGAAGCATTCTCAGAAACTGCTCTGTGATGTCTGCATTCAAGTCACAGAGTTGAACATTGCCTTTCATAGAGCAGGTTTGAAACGCTCTTTTTGTAGTATATGGAAGTGGACTTATCGGACGGTTTGAGGCCCATGGTTATAAAGGGAATATCTTCCCCTACAAGCTAGAAAGAAGCATTCTGTGAAACTTGTTTGTGATGTGTGTACTCAACTAACAGAGTTGAACCTTTCTTTTCACAGAGCAGTTTTGAAACACTCTTTTTGTAGAATCTGCGAGGGGATATTTGGATAGATTTCAGGATTTGGTTGGAAACGGGAATATCTTCATATAAAATCTCGACAGAAGCATTCTCAGAAACTTCTTTGTGATATGTGCATTCAAGTCTCAGTGTTGAATATTCCCTTTCACAGAGTAGGTTTGAAACACTCTTTTTGTTGTATCTGGAAGTGGACATTTGGAGCGCCTTGACACCTACGATGAAAAGGGAAATATCTTCCCATAAAAACTAGACAGAAGCAATCTCAGAATCTTCTTTGGGATATATGCAGGCAGCTAACAGAGTTGAACATTTGTATTGACAGAGCAGTTTTGAAACAGTCTTTCTGTGGAATCTGCAAGTGGATATTTGGATAGCTTGGAAGTTTTCTTTGGAAACGGGATTACGTAAAAAAAGTAGACTGCAGCATCCTCAGAAACATCCTTGTGATGTGTGCATTCAAGTCACAGAGTTGAACATTCCCTTTCGTACAGCAGTTTTGAAACACTCTTTCTGTAGTATCTGGAAGTGAACTTTAGGACAGCTTTCAGGTCTATAGTGAGAAAGGATATATTTTCAAATAAAAACTAGACGGAAGCATTCTGATAAACTTGTTTGTGAAGTGTGATCTCAGCTAACAGAGGTGGATCTTTCTTTGAATAGAGCAGTTCTGAAAAACACTTTGTTGAATCTGGAAGTGGACATTTGGATAGATTTCAAGATTTCGTTGGAAACGGGAATATCTTCATATCAAATCTAGACAGAAGCATTCTCAGAAACGTCTTTGCGATGTTTGCATTCAACTCATAGAGTTGAACATTCCCTTTCAGAGAGCAGCTTTGAAGCACTCTTTTTGTAGTATGTGCAAGTTGACATTTGGAGCGCTTTGAGGCCTACGGGGAAAAAGCAAATATCTTCCCATAACCACTAGACAGAATCATTCTCAGAAACTCCTTTATGACGTATGCACTCACCTAACAGAGAAGAACCTTCCTTTTGACAGAGCAGTTTTGATACACTCTTTTTGTAGAATCTGCAAGTGGATATTGGGATAGCTGTGAAGATTTCGTTGGAAACGGGAATATCTTCCTATAAAATCTAGACAGAAGCATTCTCAGAAACAGCTCTGTGATGTCTGCATTCAAGTCACAGAGTTGAACATTGCCTTTCATAGAGCAGGTTTGAAACGCTCTTTTTGTAGTATATGGAAGTGGACGTTTCGGACGGTTTGAGGCCCATGGTGATAAAGGGAATAACTTCCCCTACAAGCTAGAAAGAAGCATTCTGTGAAACTTGTTTGTGATGTGTGTACTCAACTAACAGAGTTGAACCTTTCTTTTCACAGAGCAGTTTTGAAACACTCTTTTTGTAGAATCTGCGAGGGGATATTTGGATAGATTTCAGGATTTCGTTGGAAACGGGAATATCTTCATATAAAATCTCTACAGAAGCATTCTCAGAAACTTCTTTGTGATATGTGCATTCAAGTCACAGAGTTGAATATTCCCTTTCACAGTGTAGGTTTGAAACACTCTTTTTGTAGTATCTGGATGTGGACATTTGGAGCGCCTTGACGCCTACGGTGAAAAGGGAAATATCTTCCCATAAAAACTAGACAGAAGCAATCTCAGAATCTTCTTTGGGATATATGCACGCAGCTAACAGAGTTGAACATTTCTATTGACAGAGCAGTTTTGAAACAGTCGTTCTGTGGAATCTGCAAGTGGATATTTCGATAGCTTGGAGGATTTCGTTGGAAACGGGATTACGTATCAAAAGTACACAGCAGCATCCTCAGAAACTTCTTTGTGATGTGTGCATTCAAGTGACAGAGTTGAACATTCCCTTTCGTACAGCAGTTTTGAAACACTCTTTCTGTAGTATCTGGAAGTGAACATTAGGACAGCTTTCAGCTCTATGGTGAGAAAGGAAATATCTTCAAATAAAAACTAGACAGAAGCATTCTCATAAACTTGTTTGTGATGTGTGAACTCAGCTAACAGAGGTGGATCTTTCTCTTGATAGAGCAGTTCTGAAAAACACTTTTTGTTGAATCTGCAAGTGGACATTTGGATAGATTTGAAGATTTCGTTGGAAACGGGAATATCTTCATATCAAATCTAGACAGAAGCATTCTCAGAAACGTCTTTGTGATGTTTGCATTCAACTCATAGAGTTGAACATTCCGTTTCATAGAGCAGCTTTGAGGCACTCTTTTTGTAGTATGTGCAAGTGGATATTTGGAGCGCTCTGAGGCCTACGGTGAAAAAGCAAATATCTTCCCATAACCACTAGACAGAAACATTCTCAGAAACTCCTTTATGACGTATGCACTCACCTAACAGAGAAGAACCTTCCTTTTGACAGAACAGTTTTGATACACTCTTTTTGTAGAATCTGCAAGTGGATATTTGGATAGCTGTGAAGATTTCGTTGGAAACGGGAATATCTTCCTATAAAATCTAGACAGAAGCATTCTCAGAAACTGCTCTGTGATGTCTGTATTCAAGTCACAGAGTTGAACATTGCCTTTCATAGAGCAGGTTTGAAACGCTCTTGTTGTAGTATATGGAAGTGGATGTTTCGGACGGTTGGAGGCCCATGGTGATAAAGGGAATATCTTCCCCTACAAGCTAGAAAGAAAGCATTCTGTGAAACTTGTTTGTGATGTGTGTACTCAACTAACAGAGTTGAACCTTTCTTTTTACAGAGCAATTTTGAAACACTCTTTTTGTAGAATCTGCGAAGGGATATTTGGATAGATTTCAGGATTTCGTTGGAAACGGGAGTATCTTCATATAAAATCTCGACAGAAGCATTCTCAGAAACTTCTTTGTGATATCTGCCTTTAAGTCACAGAGTTGAATATTCCCTTTCACAGAGTAGGTTTGAAGCACTCTTTTTGTAGTATCTGGAAGTGGACATTTGGAGCGCCTTGACACCTACGGTGAAAAGGGAAATATCTTCCCATAAAAACTAGACAGAAGCAATCTCAGAATCTTCTTTGGGATATATGCACGCAGCTAACAGAGTTGAACCTTTCTATTGACAGAGCAGTTTTGAAACAGTCTTTCTGTGGAATCTGCAAGTGGATATTTGGATAGCTTGGAGGATTTCGTTGGAAACGGGATTACGTATAAAAAGTAGATAGCAGCATCCTCAGAAATTTCTTTGTGATGTGTGCATTCAAGTCACAGATTTGAACATTCCCTTTCATACAGCAGTTTTGAAACACTCTTTCTGTAGTATCTGGAAGTGAACATTAGGACAGCTTTCAGGTCTATGGTGAGAAAGGAAATATCTTCAAATAAAAACTAGACAGAAGCATTTTCATAAACTTGTTTGTGATGTGTGAACTCAGCTAACAGAGGTGAATCTTTCTTTTGATAGAGCATCAGCTAACAGACGTGGATCTTTCTTTTGATACAGCAGTTTTGAAAAACACTTTTTGTTGAATCTGCAAGTGGACATTTGGATAGATATGAAGATTTCGTTGGAAACGGGAATATCTTCATATCAAATCTAGACAGAAGCATTCTCAGAAACGTCTTTGTGATGTTTGCATTCAACTCATAGAGTTGAACATTCCGTTTCAGAGAGCAGCTTTGAGGCACTCTTTTTGTAGTATGTGCAAGTGGATATTTGGAGCGCTCTGAGGCCTACGGTGAAAAAGCCAATATCTTCCCATAACCACTAGACAGAAACATTCTCAGAAACTCCTTTATGACGTATGCACTCACCTAACAGAGAAGAACCTTCCTTTTGACGGAGCAGTTTTGATACACTCTTTTTGCAGAATCTGCAAGTGGATATTTGGATAGCTGTGAAGATTTCGTTGGAAACGGGAATATCTTCCTATAAAATCTAGATGGAAGCATTCTCAGAAACTGCTCTGTGATGTCTGCATTCAAGTCACAGAGTTGAACATTGCCTTTCCTAGAACAGGTTTGAAACGCTCTTTTTGTAGTACATGGAAGTGGACGTTTCGGACGGTTTGAGGCCCATGGTGATAAAGGGAATATCTTCCCCTACAAGCTAGAAAGAAGCATTCTGTGAAACTTGTTTGTGATGTGTGTACTCAAACTAACAGAGTTGAACCTTTCTTTTTACAGAGCAGTTTTGAAACACTCTTTTTGTAGAATCTGCGAGGGGATATTTGGATAGATTTCAGGATTTCGTTGGAAAGGGGAATATCTTCATATAAAATCTCGACAGAAGCATTCTCAGAAACTTCTTTGTGATATGTGCATTCAAGTCACAGAGTTGAATATTCCCTTTCACAGAGTTGGTTTGAAACACTCTTTTTGTAGTATCTGGAAGTGGACATTTGGAGCGCCTTGACACCTACGGTGAAAAGGGAAATATCTTCCCATAAAAACTAGACAGAAACAATCTCAGAATCTTCTTTGGGATATATGCACGCAGCTAACAGAGTTGAACCTTTCTATTGACAGAGCAGTTTTGAAACAGTCTTTCTGTGGAATCTGCAAGTGGATATTTGGATAGCTTGGAGGATTTCGTTGGAAACGGGATTACGTATAAAAAGTAGACAGCAGCATCCTCAGAAACTTCTTTGTGATGTGTGCATTCAAGTCACAGAGTTGAACAATCCCTTTCGTACAGCAGTTTTGAAATACTCTTTCTGTAGTAACTGGAAGTGAACATTAGGAAAGCTTTCAGGTCTATGGTGAGAAAGGAAATATCTTCAAATAAAAACTAGACAGAAGCATTCTCATAAACTTGTTTGTGATGTCTGAACTCAGCTAACAGAGGTGGATCTTTCTTTTGATAGAGCAGTTCTGAAAAACACTTTTTGTTGAATCTGCAAGTGGACATTTGGATAGATTTGAAGATTTCGTTGGAAACGGGAATATCTTCATATCAAATCTAGACAGAAGCATTCTCAGAAACGTCTTTGTGATGTTTGCATTCAACTCATAGAGTTGAACATTCCCTTTCAGAGAGCAGCTTTGAAGCACTCTTTTTGTAGTATGTGCAAGTGGATATTTGGAGCGCTCTGAGGCCTACGGTGAAAAAGCAAATATCATCCCATAACCACTAGACGGAAACATTCTCAGAAACTCCTTTATGACCTATGCACTCACCTAAAAGAGAAGAACCTTCCTTTTGACAGAGCAGTTTTGATACACTCTTTTTGTAGAATCTGCAAGTGGATATTTGGATAGCTGTGAAGATTTCGTTGGAAACGGGAATATCTTCCTATAAAATCTAGACAGAAGCATTCTCAGAAACTGCTCTGTGATGTCTGCATTCAAGTCACAGAGTTGAACATTGCCTTTCATAGAGCACGTTTGAAACGCTCTTTTTGTAGTATATGGAAGTAGACGTTTCGGACGGTTTGAGGCCCATAGTGATAAAGGGAATATCTTCCCCTACAAGATAGAAAGAAGCATTCTGTGAAACTTCTTTGTGATGTGTGTACTCAACTAACAGAGTTGAACCTTTCTTTTTACAGAGCAGTTTTGAAACACTCTTTTTGTAGAATCTGCGAGGGGATATTTGGATAGATTTCAGGATTTCGTTGGAAACGGGAATATCTTCATATAAAATCTCGACAGAAGCATTCTCAGAAACTTCTTTGTGATATCTGCATTCAAGTCACAGAGTTGAATATTCCCTTTCACAGAGTAGGTTTGAAACACTCTTTTTGTAATATCTGGAAGTGGACATTTGGAGCGCCTTGACGCCTACGGTGAAAAGGGAAATATCTTCCCATAAAAACTAGACAGAAGCAATCTCAGAATCTTCTTTGGGATATATGCACGCAGCTAACAGAGTTGAACCTTTCTATTGACAGAGCAGTTTTGAAACAGTCTTTCTGTGGAATCTGCAAGTGGATATTTGGATAGCTTGGAGGATTTCGTTGGAAACGGGATTACGCATAAAAAGTAGACAGCAGCATCCTCAGAAACTTCTTTGTGATGTGTGCATTCAAGTCACAGAGTTGAACATTCCCTTTCGTACAGCAGTTTTGAAACACTCTTTCTGTAGTATCTGGAAGTGAACATTAGGACAGCTTTCAGGTCTATGGTGAGAAAGGAAATATCTTCAAATAAAAACTATACAGAAGCATTCTCATAAACTTGTTTGTGATGTGTGAACTCAGCTAAGAGACGTGGATCTTTCTTTTGATAGAGCAGTTCTGAAAAACACGTTTTGTTGAATCTGCAAGTGGACATTTGGATAGATTTGAAGATTTCGTGGGAACGGGAATATCTTCATATCAAATCTAGACAGAAGCATTCTCAGAAACGTCTTTGTGATGTTTGCATTCAACCCATAGAGTTGAACATTCCGTTTCAGAGAGCAGCTTTGAAGCGCTCTTTTTGTAGTATGTGCAAGGGGATATTTGGAGCGCTCTGAGGCCTAAGGTGAAAAAGCAAATATCTTCCCATAACCACTAGACAGAAACATTCTCAGAAACTTCTTTATGACGTATGTACTCAACTAGCAGAGAAGAACTTTCCTTTTGACAGAGCATTTTTGATACACTCTTTTTGTACTATCTGCAAGTGGATATTTGTATAGCTGTGAAGATTTCGTTGGAAACGGGAATATCTTCCTATAAAGTCTGGACAGAAGCATTCTCAGAAACTGCTCTGTGATGTCTGCATTCAAGTCACAGAGTTGAACATTGCCTTTCATAGAGCAGGTTTCAAACACTGTTTTTTTAGTATATGGAAGTGGACGTTTTGGAC
The DNA here is from genome assembly GCF_000001405.40 of Homo sapiens. Classification (NCBI taxonomy): domain Eukaryota; kingdom Metazoa; phylum Chordata; class Mammalia; order Primates; family Hominidae; genus Homo; species Homo sapiens. The sequence goes on from NC_000014.9 coordinate 17,428,609, forward strand.
GGTTTGAGGCCCATGGTGATAAAGGAAATATCTTCCCCTACAAGCTAGAAAGAAGCATTCTGTGAAACTTGTTTGTGATGTGTGTACTCAACTAACAGAGTTGAACCTTTCTTTTTACAGAGCAGTTTTGAAACACTCTTTTTGTAGAATCTGCGAGGGCATATTTGGATAGATTTCAGGATTTCGTTGGAAACGGGAATATCTACATATAAAATCTCGACAGAAGCATTCTCAGAAACTTCTTTGTGATATCTGCCTTCAAGTCACAGAGTTGAATATTCCCTTTCACAGAGTAGGTTTGAAACACTCTTTTTGTAGTATCTGGAAGTGGACATTTGGAGCGCCTTGACGCCTAAGGTGAAAAGGGAAATATCTTCCCATAAAAACTAGACAGAAGCAATCTCACAATCTTCTTTGGGATATATGCACGCAGCTAACAGAGTTGAACCTTTCTATTGACAGAGCAGTTTTGAAACAGTCTTTCTGTGGAATCTGCAAGTGGATATTTGGATAGCTTGGAGGATTTCGTTGGAAACGGGATTACGTATAAAAAGTAGACAGCAGCATCGTCAGAAACTACTTTGTGATGTGTGCATTCAAGTCACAGAGTTGAACATTCCCTTTCGTACAGCAGTTTTGAAACACTCTTTCTGTAGTATCTGGAAGTGAACATTAGGACAGCTTGCAGGTCTATGGTGAGAAGGGAAATATCTTCAAATAAAAACTAGACAGAAGCATTCTCATAAACTTGTTTGTGATGTGTGAACTCAGCTAACCGAGATGGATCTTTCTTTTGATAGAGCAGTTCTGAAAAACACTTTTTGTTGAATCTGCAAGTGGACATTTGGATAGATTTGAAGATTTCGTTGGAAACGGGAATATCTTCATATCAAATCTAGACAGAAGCATTCTCGGAAACGTCTTTGTGATGTTTGCATTCAACTCATAGAGTTGAACATTCCGTTTCAGAGAGCAGCTTTGAGGCACTCATTTTGTAGTATGTGCAAGTGGATATTTGGAGCGCTCTGAGGCCTTCGGTGAAAAAGCAAATATCTTCCCATAACCACTAGACAGAAACATTCTCAGAAACTTCTTTATGACGTATGTACTCAACTAGCAGAGAAGAACTTTCCTTTTGACAGAGCAGTTTTGATACACTCTTTTTGTAGAATCTGCAAGTGGATATTTGGATATCTGTGAAGATTTCGCTGGAAACGGGAATATCTTCCTATAAAATCTAGACAGAAGCATTCTCAGAAACTGCTCTGTGATGTCTGCATTCAAGTCACGGAGTTGAACATTGCCTTTCATAGAGCAGGTTTGAAACGCTCTTTTTGTAGTATATGGAAGTGGACGTTTCGGACGGTTTGAGGCCCATGGTGATAAAGGGAATATCTTCCCCTACAAGCTAGAAAGAAGCATTCTGTGAAACTTGTTTGTGATGTGTGTACTCAACTAACAATAGTTGAACCTTTCTTTTTACAGAGCAGTTTTGAAACACTCTTTTTGTAGAATCTGCGAGGGGATATTTGGATACATTTCAGCATTTCGTTGGAAACGGGAATATCTTCATATAAAATCTCGACAGAAGCATTCTCAGAAACTTCTTTGGGATATCTGCATTCAAGTCACAGAGTTGAATATTCCCTTTCACAGAGTAGGTTTGAAACACTCTTTTTGTAGTATCTGGAAGTGGACATTTGGAGCGCATTGACGCCTACAGTGAAAAAGGAAATATCTTCCCATAAAAACTAGACAGAAGCAATCTCAGAATCTTCTTTGGGATATATGCACGCAGCTAACAGAGTTGAACCTTTCTATTGACAGAGCAGTTTTGAAACAGTCTTTCTCTGGAATCTGCAAGTGGATATTTGGATAGCTTGGAGGATTTCGTTGGAAACAGGATTACGTATAAAAAGTAGACAGCAGCATTCTCAGAAAATTCTTTGTGATGTGTGCATTCAAGTCACAGAGTTGAACATTCCCTTTCGTACAGCAGTTTTGAAACACTCTTTCTGTAGTATCTGGAAGTGAACATTAGGAGAGCTTCCAGGTCTATGGTGAGAAAGGATATATCTTCAAATAAAAACTAGACAGAAGCATTCTCATAAACTTGTTTGTGATGTGTGAACTCAGCTAACAGACGTGGATCTTTCCTTTGATACAGCAGTTTTGAAAAACACTTTTTGTTGAATCTGCAAGTGGACATTTGGATAGATTTGAAGATTTCGTTGGAAACGGGAATATCTTCATATCAAATCTAGACAGAAGCATTCTCAGAAACGTCTTTCTGATGTTTGCATTCAACTCATAGAGTTGAACATTCCCTTTCAGAGAGCAGCTTTGAAGCACTCTTTTTGTAGTATGTGCAAGGGGATATTTGGAGCGCTCTGAGGCCTACGGTGAAAAAGCAAATATCTTCCCATAACCACTAGACAGAAACATTCTCAGAAACTCCTGTATGACGTATGCACTCACCTAACAGAGAAGAACCTTCCTTTTGACAGAGCAGTTTTGATACACTCTTTTTGTAGAATATGCAAGTGGATATTTGGATAGCTGTGAAGATTTCTTTGGAAACGGGAATATCTTCCTATAAAATCTAGACAGAAGCATTCTCAGAAACTGCTCTTTGATGTCTGCATTCAAGTCACAGAGTTGAACATTGCCTTTCATAGAGCAGGTTTGAAACGCTCTTTTTGTAGTATATGGAAGTGGATGTTTCGGACGGTTGGAGGCCCATGGTGATAAAGGGAATATCTTCCCCTACAAGCTAGAAAGAAGCATTGTGTGAAACTTGTTTGTGATGTGTGTACTCAACTAACAGAGTTGAACCTTTCTTTTTACAGAGCAGTTTTGAAACACTCTTTTTGTAGAATCTGCGAGGGGATATTTGGATACATTTCAGGATTTCGTTGGAAACGGGAATACCTTCATATAAAATCTCGACAGAAGCATTCTCAGAAACTTCTTTGTGATATCTGCCTTCAAGTCACAGAGTTGAATATTCCCTTTCACAGAGTAGGTTTGAAACACTCTTTTTGTAGTATCTGGAAGTGGACATTTGGAGCGCCTTGACGCCTACGGTGAAAAGGGAAATATCTTCCCATAAAAACTAGACAGAAGCAATCTCAGAATCTTCTTTGGGATATATGCACGCAGCTAACAAAGTTGAACCTTTCTATTGACAGAGCAGTTTTGAAACAGTCTTTCTGTGGAATCTGCAAGTGGATATTTGGATAGCTTGGAGGATTTCGTTGGAAACGGGATTACGTATAAAAAGTAGACAGCAGCATCCTCAGAAACTTCTTTGTGATGTGTGCATTCAAGTCACAGAGTTGAACATTCCCTTTCGTACAGCAGTTTTGAAACACTCTTTCTGTACTATCTGGAAGTGAACATTAGGACAGCTTTCAGCTCTATGGTGAGAAAGGAAATATCTTCAAATAAAAACTAGACAGAAGCATTCTGATAAACTTGTTTGTGAAGTGTGATCTCAGCTAACAGAGGTGGATCTTTCTTTTGATAGAGCAGTTCTGAAAAACACTTTGTTGAATCTGCAAGTGGACATTTGGATAGATTTGAAGATTTCGTTGGAAACGGGAATATCTTCATATCAAATCTAGACAGAAGTATTCTCAGAAACGTCTTTGTGATGTTTGCATTCAACTCATAGAGTTGAACATTCCCTTTCAGAGAGCAGCTTTGAAGCACTCTTTTTGTAGTATGTGCAAGTGGATATTTGGAGCGCTCTGAGGCCTACGGTGAAAAAGCAAATATCTTCCCATAACCACTAGACAGAAACATTCTCAGAAACTCCTTTATGACGTATGCACTCACCTAACAGAAAAGAACCTTCCTTTTGACAGAGCAGTTTTGATACACTCTTTTTGTAGAATCTACAAGTGGATATTTGGATAGCTGTGAAGATTTCGTTGGAAACGGGAATATCTTCCTTTAAAATCTAGACAGAAGCATTCTCAGAAACTGCTCTGTGATGTCTGTATTCAAGTCACAGAGTTGAACATTGCCTTTCATAGAGCAGGTTTGAAACGCTCTTTTTGTAGTATATGGAAGTGGATGTTTCGGACGGTTGGAGGCCCATGGTGATAAACGGAATATCTTCCCCTACAAGCTAGAAAGAAGCATTCTGTGAAACTTGTTTGTGATGTGTGTACTCAACTAACAGAGTTGAACATTTCTTTTTACAGAGCAGTTTTGAAACACTCTTTTTGTAGAATCTGCGAGGGGATATTAGGATAGATTTCAGGATTTCGTTGGAAACGGGAATATCTTCATATAAAATCTCGACAGAAGCATTCTCAGAAACTTCTTTGTGATATGTGCATTCAAGTCACAGAGTTGAATATTCCCTTTCACAGAGTAGGTTTGAAACACTCTTTTTGTAGTATCTGGAAGTGGACATTTGGAGCGCCTTGACACCTACGGTCAAAAGGGAAATATCTTCCCATAAAAACTAGACAGAAGCAATCTCAGAATCTTCTTTGGGATATATGCACACAGCTAACAGAGTTGAACCTTTCTATTGACAGAGCAGTTTTGAAACAGTCTTTCTGTGGAATCTGCAAGTGGATATTTGGATAGCTTGGAGGATTTCGTTGGAAACGGGATTAAGTATAAAAAGTAGACAGCAGCATCCTCAGAAACTTCTTTGTGATGTGTGCATTCAAGTCACAGAGTTGAACATTCCCTTTCGTACAGCAGTTTTGAAACGCTCTTTCTGTAGTATCTGGAAGTGAACATTAGGAGAGCTTTCAGGTCTATGTTGAGAAAGGAAATATCTTCAAATAAAAACTAGACAGAAGCATTCTCATAAACTTGTTTGTGATGTGTGAACTCAGCTAACAGAGGTGGATCTTTCTTTTGATAGAGCAGTTCTGAAAAACACTTTTGTTTAATCTGCAAGTGGACATTTGGATAGATTTGAAGATTTCGTTGGAAACGGGAATATCTTCATATCAAATCTAGACAGAAGCATTCTCAGAAACGTCTTTGTGATGTTTGCATTCAACTCATAGAGTTGAACATTCCGTTTCAGAGAGCAGCTTTGAGGCACTCTTTTTGTAGTATGTGCAAGTGGATATTTGGAGCGCTCTGAGGCCTGCGGTGAAAAAGCAAATATCTTCCCATAACCACTAGACAGAAACATTCTCAGAAACTCCTTTATGACGTATGCACTCACCTAACAGAGAAGAACCTTCCTTTTGACAGAGCAGTTTTGATACACTCTTTTTGTAGAATCTGCAAGTGGATATTTGGATAGCTGTGAAGATTTCGTTGGAAACGGGAATACCTTCCTATAAAATCTAGACAGAAGCATTCTCAGAAACTGCTCTGTGATGTCTGCATTCAAGTCACAGAGTTGAACATTGCCTTTCCTAGAGCAGGTTTGAAACGCTCTTTTTGTAGAATATGGAAGTGGATGTTTCGGACGGTTGGAGGCCCATGGTGATAAAGGGAAAATCTTCCCCTACAAGCTAGAAAGAAGCATTGTGTGAAACTTGTTTGTGATGTGTGTACTCAACTAACAGAGTTGAACCTTTCTTTTTACAGAGCAGTTTTGAAACACTCTTTTTGTAGAATCTGCAAGGGGATATTTGGATAGATTTCAGGGATTTCGTTGGAAACGGGAATATCTTCATATAAAATCTCGACAGAAGCATTCTCAGAAACTTCTTTGTGATATCTGCATTCCAGTCACAGAGTTGAATATTCCCTTTCACAGAGTAGGTTTGAAACACTCTTTTTATAGTATCTGGAATTGGACATTTGGAGCGCCTTGACGCCTACGGTGAAAAGGGAAATATCTTCCGATAAAAACTAGACAGAAGAAATCTCAGAATCTTCTTTGGGATATATGCACGCAGCTAACAGAGTTGAACCTTTCTATTGACAGAGCAGTTTTGAAACAGTCTTTCTGTGGAATCTGCAAGTGGATATTTGGATAACTTGGAGGATTTCGTTGGAAACGGGATTACGTATAAAAAGTAGACAGCAGCATCCTCAGAAACATCCTTGTGATGTGTGCATTCAAGTCACAGAGTTGAACATTCCCTTTCGTACAGCAGTTTTGAAACACTCTTTCTGTAGTATCTGTAAGTGAACTTTAGGACAGCTTTCAGGTCTATAGTGAGAAAGGATATATCTTCAAATAAAAACTAGACAGAAGCATACTCATAAACTTGTTCGTGATGTGTGAACTCAGCTAAGAGCCGTGGATCTTTCTTTTGATAGAGCAGTTCTGAAAAACACTTTTTGTTGAATCTGCAAGTGGACATTTGCATAGATTTGAAGATTTCTTTGGAAACGGGAATATCTTCATATCAAATCTAGACAGAAGCATTCTCAGAAACGTCTTTGTGGTGTTTGCATTCAACTCATAGAGTTGAACATTCCGTTTCAGAGAGCAGCTTTGAAGCACTCTTTTTGTAGTATGTGCAAGTGGATATTTGGAGCGCTCTGAGGCCTACGGGGAAAAAGCAAATATCTTCCCATAACCACTAGACTGAAACATTCTCAGAAACTCCTTTATGACGTATGCACTCACCTAACAGAGAAGAACCTTCCTTTTGACAGAGCAGTTTTGATACACTCTTTTTGTAGAATCTGCAAGTGGATATTAGGATAGCTGTGAAGATTTCGTTGGAAACGGGAATATCTTCCTATAAAATCTAGACAGAAGCATTCTCAGAAATTGCTCTGTGATGTCTTCATTCAAGTCACAGAGTTGAACATTGCCTTTCATAGAGCAGGTTTGAAACACTCTTTTTTTAGTATATGGAAGTGGACGTTTCGGACGGTTTGAGGCCCATGGTGATAAAGGGAATATCTTCCCCTACAAGCTAGAAAGAATCATTCTGTGAAACTTGTTTGTGATGTGTGTACTCAACTAACAGAGTTGAACCTTTCTTTTTACAGAGCAGTTTTGAAACACTCTTTTTGTAGAATCTGCGAGGGGATATTTGGAGAGATTTCAGGATTTCGTTGGAAACGGGAATATCTTCATATAAAATCTCGACAGAAGCATTCTCAGAAACATCTTTGTGATATGTGCATTCAAGTCACAGAGTTGAATATTCCCTTTCACAGAGTAGGTTTGAAACACTCTTTTTGTAGTATCTGGAAGTGGACATTTGGAGCGCCTTGACGCCTACGGTGAAAAGGGAAATATCTTCCCATAAAAACTAGACAGAAGCAATCTCAGAATCTTCTTTGGGATATATGCACGCAGCTAACAGAGTTGAACCTTTCTTTTGACAGAGCAGTTTTGAAACAGTCTTTCTGTGGAATCTGCAAGTGGATATTTGGATAGCTTGGAGGATTTCGTTGGAAACGGTATTACGTATAAAAAGTAGACAGCCATCCTCAGAAACTTCTTTGTGATGTGTGCATTCAAGTCACAGAGTTGAACATTCCCTTTCGTACAGCAGTTTTGAAACACTCTTTCTGTAGTATCTGGAAGTGAACATTAGGACAGCTTTCAGGTCTATGGTGAGAAAGGAAATATCTTCAAATAAAAACTAGACAGAAGCATTCTCATAAACTTGTTTGTGATGTGTGAACTCAGCTAAGAGACGTGGATCTTTCTTTTGATAGAGCAGGTCTGAAAAACACGTTTTGTTGAATCTGCAAGTGGACATTTGGATAGATTTGAAGATTTCGTTGGAAACGGGAATAACTTCATATCAAATCTAGACAGAAGCATTCTCAGAAACGTCTTTGTGATGTTTGCATTCAACTCATAGAGTTGAACATTCCCTTTTAGAGAGCAGCTTTGAAGCACTCTTTTTGTAGTATGTGCAAGTGGATATTTGGAGCGCTCTGAGGTCTACGGTGAAAAAGCAAATATCTTCCCATAACCACTAGACAGAAACATTCTCAGAAACTCCTTTATGACGTATGTACTCAACTAACAGAGAAGAACCTTCCTTTTGACAGAGCAGTTTTGATACACTCTTTTTGTAGAATCTGCAAGTGGATATTTGGATAGCTGTGAAGATTTCGTTGGAAAAGGGAATATCTTCCTATAAAATCTAGACAGAAGCATTCTCAGAAACTGCTCTGTGATGTCTGCATTCAAGTCACACAGTTGAACATTGCCTTTCATAGAGCAGGTTTGAAACGCTCTTTTTGTAGTATATGGAAGTGGACGTTTCGGACGGTTTGAGGCCCATGGTGATAAAGGAAATATCTTCCCCTACAAGCTAGAAAGAAGCATTGTGTGAAACTTGTTTGTGATGTGTGTACTCAACTAACAGAGTTGAACCTTTCTTTTTACAGAGCAGTTTTGAAACACTCTTTTGTAGAATCTGCAAGGGGATATTTGGATACATTTCAGGATTTCGTTGGAAACGGGAATATCTTCATATAAAATCTCGACAGAAGCATTCTCAGAAGCTTCTTTGTGATATGTGCATTCAAGTCACAGACTTGAATATTCCCTTTCACAGAGTAGGTTTGAAACATTCTTTTTGTAGTATCTGGAAGTGGACATTTGGAGCGCCTTGACGCCTACGGTGAAAAGGGAAATATCTTCTCATAAAAAGTAGACACAAGCAATCTCAGAATCTCCTTTGGGATATATGCACGCAGCTAACAGAGTTGAACCTTTCTATTGACAGAGCAGTTTTGAAACAGTCTTTCTGTGGAATCTGCAATTGGATATTTGGATAGCTTGGAGGATTTCGTTGGAAACGGGATTTCGTATAAAAAGTAGACAGCAGCATCCTCAGAAACTTCTTTGTGATGTGTGCATTCAAGTCACAGGGTTGAACATTCCCTTTCGTACAACAGTTTTGAAACACTCTTTCTGTAGTATCTGAAGTGAACAATAGGACAGCTTTCAGGTCTATGATGAGAAAGGAAATATCTTCAAATAAAAACTAGACAGAAGCATTCTCATAAACTTGTTTGTGATGTGTGAACTCAGCTAACAGAGGTGGATCTTTCTTTTGATACAGCAGTTTTGAAAAACACTTTTTGTTGAATCTGCAAGTGGACATTTGGATAGATATGAAGATTTCGTTGGAAACGGGAATATCTTCATATCAAATCTAGACAGAAGCATTCTCAGAAACGTCTTTGTGATGTTTGCATTCAACTCATAGAGTTGAACATTCCGTTTCAGAGAGCAGCTGTGAGGCACTCTTTTTGTAGTATGTGCAAGTGGATATTTGGAGCGCTCTGAGGCCTACGGTGAAAAAGCAAATATCTTCCCATAACCACTAGACAGAAACATTCTCAGAAACTCCTTTATGACGTATGCACTCACCTAACAGAGAAGAACCTTCCTTTTGACAGAGCAGTTTTGATACACTCTTTTTGTAGAATCTGCAAGTGGATATTTGGATAGCTGCGAAGATTTCGTTGGAAACGGGAATATCTTCCTATAAAATCTAGACAGAAGCATTCTCAGACACTGCTCTGCGATGTCTGCATTCAAGTCACAGAGTTGAACATTGCCTTTCATAGAGCAGGTTTGAAACGCTCTTTTTGTAGTATATGGAAGTGGACTTATCGGACGGTTTGAGGCCCATGGTGATAAAGGGAATATCTTCCCCTACAAGCTAGAAAGAAGCATTCTGTGAAACTTGTTTGTGATGTGTGTACTCAACTAACAGAGTTGAACCTTTCTTTTTACAGAGCAGTTTTGAAACACTCTTTTTGTAGAATCTGCGAGGGGATATTTGGATACATTTCAGCATTTAGTTGGAAACGGGAATATCTTCATATAAAATCTCGACAGAAGCATTCTCAGAAACTTCTTTGTGATATGTGCATTCAAGTCACAGAGTTGAATGTTCCCTTTCACAGAGTAGGTTTGAAACACTCTTTTTGTAGTATCTGGAAGAGGACATTTGGAGCGCCTTGACGCGTACGGTGAAAAGGGAAATATCTTCTCATAAAAAGTAGACAGAAGCAATCTCAGAATCTTCTTTGGGATATATGCACGCAGCTAACAGAGTTGAACCTTTCTATTGACAGAGCAGTTTTGAAACAGTCTTTCTGTGGAATCTGCAAGTGGATATGTGGATAGATTGGAGGATTTCGTTGGAAACGGGATTACGTATAAAAATTAGACAGCAGCATCCTCAGAAACTTCTTTGTGATGTGTGCATTCAAGTCACAGAGTTGAACTTCCCTTTCGTACAGCAGTTTTGAAACACTCTTTCTGTAGTATCTGGAAGTGAACATTAGGACAGCTTTCAGGTCTATGGTGAGAAAGGAAATATCTTCAAATAAAAACTAGACAGAAGCATTCTCATAAACTTGTTTGTGATGTGTGAACTCCGCTAACAGAGGTGGATCTTTCTTTTGATAGAGCAGTTCTGAAAAACACTTTTTGTTGAATCTGCAAGTGGACATTTGGATAGATTTGAAGATTTCGTTGGAAACGGGAATATCTTCATATCAAATCTAGACAGACGCATTCTCAGAAACGTCTTTGTGATGTTTACATTCAACTCATAGAGTTGAACATTCCCTTTCAGAGAGCAGCTTTGAAGCACTCTTTTTGTAGCATGTGCAAGTGGACATTTGGAGCGCTCTGAGGCCTACGGGGAAAAAGCAAATATCTTCCCATAACCACTAGACAGAAACATTCTCAGAAACTTCTTTATGACGTATGTACTCAACTAGCAGAGAAGAACTGTCCTCTTGACAGAGCATTTTTGATACACTCTTTTTGTAGTATCTGCAAGTGGATATTTGGATAGCTGTGAAGATTTCGTTGGAATCGGGAATATCTTCCTATAAAGTCCGGACAGAAGCATTCTCAGAAACTGCTCTGTGATGTTTGCTTTCATGTCACAGAGTTGAACATTGCCTTTCATAGAGCAGGTTTCAAGCACTCTTTTTTTAGTATATGGAAGTGGACGTTTCGGACGGTTTGAGGCCCATGGTGATAAAGGAAATATCTTCCCCTAGAAGCTAGAAAGAAGCATTCTGTGAAACTTGTTTGTGATGTGTGTACTCAACTAACAGAGTTGAACCTTTCTTTTTACAGAGCACTTTTGAAACACTCTTTTTGTAGAATCTGCGAGGGGATATTTGGATAGATTTCAGGATTTCGTTGGAAACGGGAATATCTTCATATAAAATCTCGACAGAAGCATTCTCAGAAACTTCTTTGTGATATCTGCATTCAAGTCACAGAGTTGAATATTCCCTTTCACAGAGTAGGTTTGAAACACTCTTTTTGTAGTATCTGGAAGTGGACATTTGGAGCGCCTTGACGCCTACAGTGAAAAGGGAAATATCTTCCAATAAAAACTAGACAGAAAGCAATCTCAGAATCTTCTTTGGGATATATGCACGCAGCTAACAGAGTTGAACCTTTCTATTGACAGAGCAGTTTTGAAACAGTCTTTCTGTGGAATCTGCAAGTGGATATTTGGATAGCTTGGAGGATTTCGTTGGAAACGGGATTACGTATAAAAAGTAGACAGAGCATCCTCAGAAAATTCTTTGTGATGTGTGCATTCAAGTCACAGAGTTGAACATTCCCTTTCGTACAGCAGTTTTGAAACACTCTTTCTGTAGTATCTGGAAGTGAACATTAGGACAGCTTTCAGCTCTATGGTGAGAAAGGAAATATCTTCAAATAAAAACTAGACAGAAGCATTCTCATAAACTTGTTTGTGATGTCTGAACTCAGCTAACAGACGTGGATCGTTCTTTTGATACAGCAGTTTTGAAAAACACTTTTTGTTGAATCTGCAAGTGGACATTTGGATAGATTTGAAGATTTCGTTGGAAACGGGAATATCTTCATATCAAATCTAGACAGAAGCATTCTCAGAAACGTCGTTGTGATGTTTGCATTCAACTCATAGAGTTGAACATTCCGATTCAGAGAGCAGCTTTGAGGCACTCTTTTTGTAGTATGTGCAAGTGGATATTTGGAGCGCTCTGAGGCCTACGGTGAAAAAGCAAATATCTTCCCATAACCACTAGACAGAAACATTCTCAGAAACTCCTTTATGACGTATGCACTCACCTAACAGAGAAGAACCTTCCTTTTGACAGAGCAGTTTTGATACACTCTTTTTGTAGAGTCTGCAAGTGGATATTTGGATAGCTGTGAAGATTTCGTTGGAAACGGGAATATCTTCCTATAAAATCTAGACAGAAGCATTCTCAGAAACTGCTCTGTGATGTCTGTATTCAAGTCACAGAGTTGAACATTGCCTTTCATAGAGCAGGTTTGAAACGCTCTTTTTGTAGTATATGTAAGTGGATGTTTCGGACGGTTGGAGGCCCATGGTGATAAAGGGAATATCTTCCCCTACAAGCTAGAAAGAAGCATTCTGTGAAACTTGTTTGTGATGTGTGTACTCAACTAACAGAGTTGAACCTTTCTTTTTACAGAGCAGTTTTGAAACACTCTTTTTGTAGAATCTGCGAGGGGATATTTGGAGAGATTTCAGGATTTCGTTGGAACCGGGAATATCTTCATATAAAATCTCGACAGAAGCATTCTCAGAAACTTCTTTGTGATATCTGCATTCAAGTCACAGAGTTGAATATTCCGTTTCACAGAGTAGGTTTGAAACACTCTTTTTGTAGTATCTGGAAGTGGACATTTGGAGCGCCTTGACACCTACGGTGAAAAGGGAAATATCTTCCCATAAAAACTAGACAGAAGCAATCTCAGAATCTTCTTTGGGATATATGCACGCAGCTAACAGAGTTGAACCTTTCTATTGACAGAGCAGTTTTGATACAGTCTTTCTGTGGAATCTGCAAGTGGATATTTGGATAGCTTGGAGGATTTCGTTGGAAACGGGATTACGTATAAAAAGTAGACAGCAGCATCCTCAGAAACTTCTTTGTGATGTGTGCATTCAAGTCACAGAGTTGAACATTCCCTTTCGTACAGCAGTTTTGAAACACTCTTTCTGTAGTATCTGGAAGTGAACATTAGGACAGCTTTCAGGTCTCTGGTGAGAAAGGAAATATCTTCAAATAAAAACTAGACAGAAGCATTCTCATAAACTTGTTTGTGATGTGTGAACTCAGCTAACAGAGGTGGATCTTTCTTTTGATAGAGCAGTTCTGAAAAACACGTTTTGTTGAATCTGCAAGTGGACATTTGGATAGATTTGAAGATTTCTTTGGAAACGGGAATATCGTCATATCAAATCTAGACAGAAGCATTCTCAGAAACGTCTTTGTCATGTTTGCATTCAACTCATAGAGTTGAACATTCCCTTTCAGAGAGCAGCTTTGAAACACTCTTTTTGTAGTATGTGCAAGTGGATATTTGGAGCGCTCTGAGGCCTACGGTGAAAAAGCAAATATCTTCCCATAACCACTAGACAGAAACATTCTCAGAAACTCCTTTATGACGTATGCACTCACCTAACAGAGAAGAACCTTCCTTTTGACAGAGCAGTTTTGATACACTCTTTTTGTAGAATCTGCAAGTGGATATTTCGATAGCTGTGAAGATTTTGTTGGAAACGGGAATATCTTCCTATAAAATCTAGACAGAAGCATTCTCAGAAACTGCTCTGTGATGTCTGCATTCAAGTCACAGAGTTGAACATTGCCTTTCATAGAGCAGGTTTGAAACGCTCTTTTTGTAGTATATGGAAGTGGACGTTTCGGACGGTTTGAGGCCCATGGTGATAAGGGGAATATCATTCCCCTACAAGCTAGAAAGAAGCATTCTGTGAAACTTGTGATGTGTGTACTCAACTAACAGAGTTGAACCTTTCTTTTTACAGAGCAGTTTTGAAACACTCTTTTTGTAGAATCTGCGAGGGGATATTTGGATAGATTTCAGGATTTCGTTGGAAACGGGAATATCTTCATATAAAATCTCGACAGAAGCATTCTCAGAAACTTCTTTGGAATATGTGTATTCAAGTCACAGAGTTGAATACTCCCTTTCACAGAGTAGGTTTGAAACACTCTTTTTGTAGTATCTGGAAGTGGACATTTTGAGCGCCTTGACGCCTACGGTGAAAAGGGAAATATCTTCCCATAAAAACTAGACAGAAGCAATCTCAGAATCTTCTTTGGGATATATGCACGCAGCTAACAGAGTTGAACCTTTCTATTGACAGAGCAGTTTTGAAACAGTCTTTCTGTGGAATCTGGAAGTGGATATTTGGATAGCTTGGAGGATTTCGTTGGAAACGGGATTAAGTATAAAAAGTAGACAGCAGCATCCTCAGAAACTTCTTTGTGATGTGTGCATTCAAGTCACAGAGTTGAACATTCCCTTTCGTACAGCAGTTTTGAAACACTCTTTCTGTAGTATCTGGAAGTGAACATTAGGACAGCTTTCAGCTCTATGGTGAGAAAGGAAATATCTTTAAATAAAAACGAGACAGAAGCATTCTCATAAACTTTTTGTGATGTGTGAACTCAGCTAACAGAGGTGGATCTTTCTTTTGATAGAGAAGTACTGAAAAACACTTTTTGTTGAATCTGCAAGTGGACATTTGGATAGATTTGAAGATTTCGTTGGAAACGGGAATATCTTCATATCAAATCTAGACAGAAGCATTCTCGGAAACGTCTTTGTCATGTTTGCATTCAACTCATAGAGTTGAACATTCCGTTTCAGAGAGCAGCTTTGAAGCACTCTTTTTGTAGTATGTGCAAGGGGATATTTGGAGCGCTCTGAGGCCTAAGGTGAAAATGCAAATATCTTCCCATAACCACTAAACAGAAACATTCTCATAAACTCCTTTATGACGTATGTACTCAACTAACAGAGAAGAACCTTCCTTTTGACAGAGCCGTTTTGATACACTCTTTTTGTAGAATCTGCAAGTGGATATTTGGATAGCTGTGAAGATTTCGTTGGAAACGGGAATATCTTCCTATAAAATCTAGACAGAAGCATTCTCAGAAAGTGCTCTGTGATGTCTGCATTCAAGTCACAGAGTTGAACATTGCCTTTCATAGAGCAGGTTTGAAACACTCTTTTTGTAGTATATGGAAGTGGACGTTTCGGACGGTTTGAGGCCCATGGTGATAATGGGAATATCTTCCCCTACAAGCTAGAAAGAAGCATTCTGTGAAACTTGTTTGTGATGTGTGTACTCAACTAACAGGGTTGAACCTTTCTTTTTACAGAGCAGTTTTGAAACACTCTTTTTGTAGAATCTGCGAGGGGATATTTGGATAGATTTCAGGATTTCATTGGAAACGGGAATATCTTCATATAAAATCTCGACAGAAGCATTCTCAGAAACTTCTTTGTGATATGTGCATTCAAGTCACAGAGTTGAATATTCCCTTTCACAGAGTAGGTTTAAAACACTCTTTTTGTAGTATCTGGAAGTGGACATTTGGAGCGCCTTGACGCCTACGGTGAAAAGGGAAATATCTTCTCATAAAAACTAGACAGAAGCAATCTCAGAATCTTCTTTGGGATATATGCACGCAGCTAATAGAGTTGAACTTTTCTATTGACAGAGCAGATTTCAAACAGTCTTTCTGTGGAATCTGCAAGTGGATATTTGGATAGCCTGGAGGATTTCGTTGGAAACGGGATTACGTATAAAAAGTAGACAGCAGCATCCTCAGAAACATCCTTGTGATGTGTGCATTCAAGTCACAGAGTTGAACATTTCCTTTCGTACAGCAGTTTTGAAACACTCTTTCTGTAGTATCTGGAAGTGAACTTTAGGAGAGCTTTCAGGTCTATAGTGAGAAAGGATATATCTTCAAATAAAAACTAGACAGAAGCATTCTCATAAACTTGTTTGTGATGTGTGAACTCAGCTAACAGAGGTGGATCTTTCTTTTGATAGAGCAGTTCTGAAAAACACTTTTTGTTGAATCTGCAAGTGTACATTTGGATAGATTTGAAGATTTCCTTGGAAACGGGAATATCTTCATATCAAATCTAGACAGAAGAATTCTCAGAAACGTCTTTGTGATGTTTGCATTCAACTCATAGAGTTGAACATTCCCTTTCAGAGAGCAGCTTTGAAGCACTCTTTTTGTAGTATGTGCAAGTGGATATTTGGAGCGCTCTGAGGCCTACGGTGAAAAATCAAATATCTTCCCATAACCACTAGACAGAAACATTCTCAGAAACTCCTTTATGACGTATGTACTCAACTAACAGAGAAGAACCTTCCTTTTGACAGAGCAGTTTTGATACACTCTTTTTGTAGAATCTGCAAGTGGATATTTGGATAGCTGTGAAGATTTTGTTGGAAACGGGAATATAAAATCTAGACAGAAGCATTCTCAGAAACTGCTCTGTGATGTCTGCATTCAAGTCACAGAGTTGAACATTGCCTTTCATAGAGCAGGTTTGAAACGCTCTTTTTCTAGTATATGGAAGTTGGACGTTTCGGACGGTTTGAGGCCCATGGTGATAAAGGGAATATCTTCCCCTACAAGCTAGAAAGAACCATTGTGTGAAACTTGTTTGTGATGTGTGTACTCAACTAACAGAGTTGAACCTTTCTTTTTACAGAGCAGTTTTGAAACACTCTTTTTGTAGAATCTGCGAGGGGATATTTGGATAGATTTCAGCATTTCGTTGGAAACGGGAATATCTTCATATAAAATCTCGACAGAAGCATTCTCAGAAACTTCTTTGTGATATGTGCATTCAAGTCACAGAGTTGAATATTCCCTTTCACAGAGTAGGTTTGAAACACTCTTTTTGTAGTATCTGGAAGTGGACATTTGGAGCGCCTTGACGCCCACGGTGAAAAGGGAAATATCTTCCCATAAAAACTAGACAGAAGCAATCTCAGAATCTTCTTTGGGATATATGCACGCAGCTAACAGAGTTGAACCTTTCTATTGACAGAGCAGTTTTGTAACAGTCTTTCTGTGGAATCTGCAAGTGGATATTTGGATAGCTTGGAGGATTTCGTTGGAAACGGGTTTACGTATAAAAAGTAGACAGCAGCATCCTCAGAAACTTCTTTGTGATGTGTGCATTCAAGTCACAGAGTTGAACATTCCCTTTCGTAGAGCAGTTTTGAAACACTCTTTCTATAGTATCTGGAAGTGAACATTAGGACAGCTTTCAGGTCTATGGTGAGAAAGGAAATATCTTCAAATAAAAATTAGACAGAAGCATTCTCATAAACTTGTTTGTGATGTGTGAACTCAGCTAACAGAGATGGATCTTTCTTTTGATAGAGCAGATCTGAAAAACACTTTTTGTTGAATCTGCAATTGGACATTTGGATAGATTTGAAGATTTCGTTGGAAACGGGAATATCTTCATATCAAATCTAGACAGAAGCATTCTCAGAAACTTCTTTGTGATGTTTGCATTCAACTCATAGAGTTGAACATTCCATTTCAGAGAGCAGCTTTGAGGCACTCTTTTTGTAGTATGTGCAAGTGGATAGTTGGAGCGCTCTGAGGCCTACGGTGAAAAAGCAAATATCTTCCCATAACCACTAGACAGAAACATTCTCAGAAACTCCTTTATGACGTATGCACTCATCTAACAGAGAAGAACCTTCCTTTTGACAGAGCAGTTTTGATACACTCTTTTTGTAGAATCTGCAAGTGGATATTTGGATAGCTGTGAAGATTTCTTTGGAAACGGGAATATCTTCCTATAAAATCTAGACAGAAGCATTCTCAGAAACTGCTCTGTGATGTCTGCATTCAAGTCACAGAGTTGAACATTGCCTTTCATAGAGCAGGTTTGAAACGCTCTTTTTGTAGTATATAAAAGTGGACGTTTCGGACGGTTTGAGGCCCATGGTGATAAAGGGAATATCTTCCCCTACAAGCTAGAAAGAAGCATTCTGTGAAACTTGTTTGTGATGTGTGTACTCAACTAACAGAGTTGAACCTTTCTTTTTACAGAGCAGTTTTGAAACACTCTTTTTGTAGAATCTGCGAGGGGATATTTGTATAGATTTCAGGATTTTGTTGGAAACGGGAATATCTTCATATAAAATCTCGACAGAAGCATTCTCAGAAACTTCTTTGTGATATGTGTATTCAAGTCACAGAGTTGAATATTCCCTTTCACAGAGTAGGTTTGAAACACTCTTTTTGTAGTATCAGGAAGTGGACATTTGGAGCGCCTTGACACTTATGGTGAAAAGGGAAATATCTTCCCATAAAAACTAGACAGAAGCATTCTGTGAAACTTGTTTGTGATGTTTGTACTCAACTAACAGAGTTGAACCTTTCTTTTTAGAGAGCAGTTTTGAAACACTCTTTCTGTAGAATCTGCAAGGGGATATTTGGATAGATTTCAGGATTTCGTTGGAAACGGGAATATCTTCATATAAAATCTCGACAGAAGCATTCTCAGAAACTTCTTTGTGATGTGTGCATTCAAGTCACAGAGTTGAACATTCCCTTTCGTACAGCAGTTTTGAAACACTCTTTCTGTAGTATCTGGAAGTGAACATTAGGACAGCTTTCAGCACTACGGTGAGAAAGGAAATATCTTCAAATAAAAACTAGACAGAAGCATTCTCATAAACTTTTTTGTGATGTGTGAACTCAGCTAACAGAGGTGGATCTTTCTTTTGATAGAGCAGTTCTGAAAAACACTTTTTGTTGAATCTGCAAGTGGACATTTGGATAGATTTGAAGATTTCGTTGGAAACGGGAATATCTTCATATCAAATCTAGACAGACAGCATTCTCAGAAACGTCTTTGTGATGTTTGCATTCAACTCATAGAGTTGAACATTCCCTTTCAGAGAGCAGCTTTGAAGCACTCTTTTTGTAGCATGTGCAAGTGGACATTTGGAGCGCCCTGAGGCCTACGGGGAAAAAGCAAATATCTTCCCATAACCACTAGACAGAAACATTCTCAGAAACTCCTTTATGACGTATGCACTCACCTAACAGAGAAGAACCTTCCTTTTGACAGAGCAGTTTTGATACACTCTTTTTGTAGAATCTGCATGTGGATATTTGGATAGCTGTGAAGATTTCGTTGGAAACGGGAATATCTTCCTATAAAATCTAGACAGAAGCATTCTCAGAAACTGCTCTGTGATGTCTGCATTCAAGTCACAGAGTTGAACATTGCCTTTGATAGAGCAGGTTTGAAACGCTCTTTTTGTAGTATATGGAAGTGGACGTTTCGGACGGTTTGAGGCCCATGGTGATAAAGGGAATATCTTCCCCTACAAGCTAAAAAGAAGCATTGTGTGAAACTTGTTTGTGATGTGTGTACTCAACTAACAGAGTTGAACCTTTCTTTTTACAGAGCAGTTTTGAAACACTCTTTTTGTAGAATCTGCGAGGGGATATTTGGATACATTTCAGCATTTCGTTGGAAACGGGAATATCTTCATATAAAATCTCGACAGAAGCATTCTCAGAAACTTCTTTGTGATATCTGCCTTTAAGTCACAGCAGTTGAATATTCCCTTTCACAGAGTAGGTTTGAAACACTCTTTTTGTAGTATCTGGAAGTGGACATTTGGAGCGCCTTGACACCTACGGTGAAAAGGGAAATATCTTCCCATAAAAACTAGACAGAAGCAATCTCAGAATCTTCTTTGGGATATATGCACGCAGCTAACAGAGTTGAACCTTTCTATTGACAGAGCAGTTTTGAAACAGTCTTTCTGTGGAATTTGCAAGTGGATATTTGGATAGCTTGGAGGATTTCGTTGGAAACGGGATTACGTATAAAAAGTAGACAGCACCATCCTCAGAAACTTCTTTGTGATGTGTGCATTCAAGTCACAGAGTTGAACATTCCCTTTCGTACAGCAGTTTTGAAACACTCTTTCTGTAGTATCTGGAAGTGAACATTAGGACAGCTTTCAGGTCGATGGTGAGAAAGGAAATACCTTCAAATAAAAACTAGACAGAAGCATTCTCATAAACTTGTTTGTGATGTGTGAACTCAGCTAACAGAGGTGGATCTTTCTTTTGATAGAGCAGTTCTGAAAAACACTTTTTGTTGAATCTGCAAGTGGACATTTGGATAGATTTGAAGATTTCGTTCCAAACGGGAATATCTTCATATCAAATCTAGACAGAAGCATTCTCAGAAAACGTCTTTGTGATGTTTGCATTCAACTCATAGAGTTGAACATTCCGTTTCAGAGAGCAGGTTTGAAGCACTCTTTTTGTAGTATGTGCAAGTGGATATTTGGAGCGCTCTGAGGCCTACGGTGAAAAAGCAAATATCTTCCCATAACCACTAGACAGAAACATTCTCAGAAACTCCTTTATGACGTATGCACTCACCTAACAGAGAAGAACCTTCCTTTTGACAGAGCAGTTTTGATACACTCTTTTTGTAGAATCTGCAAGTGGATATTTGGATACCTGTGAAGATTTCGTTGGAAACGGGAATATCTTCCTATAAAATCTAGACAGAAGCATTCTCAGAAACTGCTCTGGGATGTCTGCATTCAAGTCACAGAGTTGAACATTGCCTTTCATAGAGCAGGTTTGAAACGCTCTTTTTGTAGTATATGGAAGTGGACTTATCGGACGGTTTGAGGCCCATGGTGATAAAGGGAATATCTTCCCCTACAAGCTAGAAAGAAGCATTCTGTGAAACTTGTTTGTGATGTGTGTACTCAACTAACAGAGTTGAACCTCTCTTTTTACAGAGCAGTTTTGAAACACTCTTTTTGTAGAATCTGCGAGGGGATATTTGGATACATTTCAGCATTTCGTTGGAAACGGGAATATCTTCATATAAAATCTCGACAGAAGCATTCTCAGAAACTTCTTTGTGATATCTGCATTCAAGTCACAGAGTTGAATATTCCCTTTCACAGAGTAGGTTTGAAACACTCTTTTTGTAGTATCTGGAAGTGGACATTTGGAGCGCCTTGACGCCTACGGTGAAAAGGGAAATATCTTCCATAAAAACTAGACAGAAGCAATCTCAGAATCTTCTTTGGGATATATGCACGCAGCTAACAGAGTTGAACCTTTCTATTGACAGAGTAGTTTTGAAACAGTCTTTCTGTGGAATCTGCAAGTGGATATTTGGATAGCTTGGAGGATTTCGTTGGAAACGGGATTAAGTATAAAAAGTAGACAGCAGCATCCTCAGAAACTTCTTTGTGATGTGTGCATTCAAGTCACAGAGTTGAACATTCCCTTTCCCACAGCAGTTTTGAAACACTCTTTCTGTAGTATCTGGAAGTGAACATTAGGACAGCTTTCAGGTCTATGGTGAGAAAGGAAATATCTTCAAATAAAAACTAGACAGAAGCATTCTCATAAACTTGTTTGTGATGTGTGAACTCAGCTAACAGAGGTGGATCTTTCTTTTGATACAGCAGTTCTGAAAAACACTTTTTGTTGAATCTGCAAGTGGACATTTGGATAGATTTGAAGATTTCGTTGGAAACGGGAATATCTTCATATCAAATCTAGACAGAAGCATTCTCAGAAACGTCTTTCCGATGTTTGCATTCAACTCATAGAGTTGAACATTCCGTTTCAGAGAGCAGCTTTGAGGCACTCTTTTTGTAGTATGTGCAAGTGGATATTTGGAGCGCTCTGAGGCCTACGGTGAAAAAGCAAATATCTTCCCATAACCACTAGACAGAAACATTCTCAGAAACTCCGTTTATGACGTATGCACTCACCTAACAGAGAAGAACCTTTCTTTTGACAGAGCAGTTTTCATACACTCTTTTGGTAGAATCTGCAAGTGGATATTTGGATAGCTGTGAAGATTTCGTTGGAAACGGGAATATCTTCCTATAAAATCTAGACAGAAGCATTCTCAGAAACTGCTCTGTGATGTCTGCATTCAAGTCACAGAGTTCAACATTGCCTTTCATAGAGCAGGTATGATACGCTCTTTTTGTAGTATGTGGAAGTGGACGTTTCGGACGGTTTGAGGCCCATGGTGATAAAGGGAATATCTTCCCCTACAAGCTAGAAAGAAGCATTCTGTGAAACTTGTTTGTGATGTGTGTACTCAACTAACAGGGTTGAACCTTTCTTTTTACAGAGCAGTTTTGAAACACCCTTTGTAGAATCTGCGAGGGGATATTTGGATAGATTTCAGGATTTCGTTGGAAACGGGAATATCTTCATATAAAATCTCGACAGAAGCATTCTCAGAGACTTCATTGTGATATCTGCATTCAAGTCACAGAGTTGAATATTCCCTTTCACAGGGTAGGTTTGAAACACTCTTTTTGTAGTATCTGGAAGTGGACATTTGGAGCGCCTTGACACCTACGGTGAAAAGGGAAATATCTTCCCATAAAAACTAGACAGAAGCAATCTCAGAATCTTCTTTGGGATATATGCACGCAGCTAACAGAGTTGAACCTTTCTATTGACAGAGCAGTTTTGAAACAGTCTTTCTGTGGAATCTGCAAGTGGATATTTGGATAGCTTGGAGGATTTCGTTGGAAACGTCATTACGTATAAAAAGTAGACAGCAGCATCCTCAGAAACTACTTTGTGATGTGTGCATTCAAGTCACAGAGTTGAACATTCCCTTTCGTACAGCAGTTTTGAAACACTCTTTCTGTAGTATCTGGAAGTGAACATTAGGACAGCTTTCAGGTCTATGGTGAGAAAGGCAATATCTTCAAATAAAAACTAGATAGAAGCATTCTCATAAACCTGTTTGTGATGTGTGAACTCAGCTAACCGAGGTGGATCTTTCTTTTGATAGAGCAGTTCTGAAAAACACTTTTTGTTGAATCTGCAAGTGGACATTTGGATAGATTTGAAGATTTCGTTGGAAACGGGAATATCTTCATATCAAATCTAGACAGAAGCATTCTCAGAAACGTGTTTGTGATGTTTGCATTCAACCCATAGAGTTGAAGATTCCGTTTCAGAGAGCAGCTTTGAAGCGCTCTTTTTGTAGTATGTGCAAGGGGATATTTTGAGCGCTCTGAGGCCTAAGGTGAAAAAGCAAATATCTTCCCATAACCACTAGACAGAAACATTCTCAGAAACTTCTTTATGACGTATGTACTCAACTAGTAGAGAAGAACTTTCCTTTTGACAGAGCATTTTTGATACACTCTTGTTGTACTATCTGCAAGTGGATATTTGGATAGCTGTGAAGATTTCGTTGGAAACGGGAATATCTTCCTATAAAGTCTGGACAGAAGCATTCTCAGAAACTGCTCTGTGATGTCTGCATTCAAGTCACAGAGTTGAACATTGCCTTTCATAGAGCAGGTTTGAAACCCTCTTTTTGTAGTATATGGAAGTGGACGTTTCGGACGGTTTGAGGCCCATGGTGATAAAGGGAATATCTTCCCCTACCAGCTAGAAAGAAGCATTCTGTGAAACTTGTTTGTGGTGTGTGTACTCATCTTACAGAGTTGAACCTTTCTTTTTACAGAGCAGTTTTGAAACACTCTTTTTGTAGAATCTGCGAGGGGTTATTTGGATAGATTTCAGGATTTCGTTGGAAACGGGAATATCTTCATATAAAATCTCGACAGAAGCATTCTCAGAAACTTCTTTGTGATATGTGCATTCAAGTCACAGAGTTGAATATTCCCTTTCACAGAGTAGGTTTGAAACACTCTTTTTGTAGTATCTGGAAGTGGACATTTGGAGCGCCTTGACGCCTACGGAGAAAAGGGAAATATCTTCCCATAAAAACTAGACAGAAGCAATCTCAGAATCTTCTTTGGGATATATGTACGCAGCTAATAGAGTTGAACCTTTCTATTGACAGAGCAGTTTTGAAACAGTCTTTCTGTGGAATCTGCAAGTGGATATTTGGATAGCTTGGAGGATTTCGTTGGAAACGGGATTACGTATAAAAAGTAGACAGCAGCATCCTCAGAAACTTCTTTGTGATGTGTGCATTCAAGTCACAGAGTTGAACATTCCCTTTCGTACAGCAGTTTTGAAACACTCTTTCTGTAGTATCTGGAAGTGAACATTAGGACAGCTTTCAGGTCTATGGTGAGAAAGGAAATATCTTCAAATAAAAACAAGACAGAAGCATTCTCATAAACTTGTTTGTGATGTGTGAACTCAGCTAACAGAGGTGGATCTTTCTTTTGATAGAGCAGTTCTGAAAAACACTTTTTGTTGAATCTGCAAGTGGACATTTGGATAGATTTGAAGATTTCGTTGGAAACGGGAATATCTTCATATCAAATGTAGACAGAAGCATTCTCAGAAACGTCTTTGTGATGTTTGCATTCAACTCATAGAGTTGAACATTCCCTTTCAGAGAGCAGCTTTGAAGCACCTCTTTTTGTAGTATGTGCAAGTGGATATTTGGAGCGCTGTGAGGCCTACGGTGAAAAAGCAAATATCTTCCCATAACCACTAGACAGAAACATTCTCAGAAACTCCTTTATGACGTATGCACTCACCTAACAGAGAAGAACCTTCCTTTTGACAGAGTAGTTTGGATACACTCTTTTTGTAGAATCTGCAAGTGGATATTAGGATAGCTGTGAAGATTTCGTTGGAAACGGGAATATCTTCCTATAAAATCTAGACAGAAGCATTCTCAGAAACTGCTCTGTGATGTCTGCATTCAAGTCACAGAGTTGAACATTGCTTTTCCTAGAGCAGGTTTGAAACGCTCTTTTTGTAGTATATGGAAGTGGACGTTTCGGACGGTTTGAGGCCCATGGTGTTAAAGGGAAATATCTTTCCCTACAAGCTAGAAAGAAGCATTCTGTGAAACTTGTTTGTGATGTGTGTACTCAACTAACAGAGTTGAACCTTTCTTTTTACAGAGCAGTTTTGAAACACTCTTTTTGTAGAATCTGCGAGGGGATATTTGGATAGATTTCAGGATTTCGTTGGAAACGGGAATATCTTCATAGAAAATCTCGACAGAAGCATTCTCTGAAACTTCTTTGTGATATGTGCACTCAAGTCACAGAGTTGAATATTCCCTTTCACAGAGTAGGTTTGAAACACTCTTTTTGTAGTATCTGGAAGTGGACATTTGTAGCTCCTTGACACCTACGGTGAAAAGGGAAATATCTTCCCATAAAAACTAGACAGAAGCAATCTCAGAATCTTCTTTGGGATATATGCACGCAGCTAACAGAGTTGAACCTTTCTATTGACAGACCAGTTTTGAAACAGTCTTTCTGTGGAATCTGCAAGTGGATATTTGGATAGCTTGGAGGATTTCGTTGGAAACGGGATTACGCATAAAAAGTAGACAGCAGCATCCTCCGAAACTTCTTTGTGATGTGTGCATTCAAGTCACAGAGTTGAACATTCCCTTTCGTACAGCAGTTTTGAAACACTCTTTCTGTAGTATCTGGAAGTGAACATTAGGACAGCTTTCAGCTCTATGGTGAGAAAGGAAATATCTTCAAATAAAAACTAGACAGAAGCATTCTCATAAACTTGTTTGCGATGTGTGAACTCAGCTAACAGAGATGGATCTTTCTTTTGATAGAGCAGTTCTGAAAAACACTTTTTGTTGAATCTGCAAGTGGACATTTGGATAGATTTGAAGATTTCGTTGGAAACGGGAATATCTTCATATCAAATCTAGACAGAAGCATTCTCCGAAACGTCTTTGCGATGTTTGCATTCAACTCATAGAGTTGAACATTCCGTTTCAGAGAGCAGCTTTGAGGCACTCTTTTTGTAGTATGTGCAAGTGGATATTTGGAGCGCTCTGAGGCCTACGGTGAAAAAGCAAATATCTTCCCATAACCACTAGACAGAAGCATTCTCAGAAACTCCTTTATGACGTATGCACTCACCTAACAGAAAAGAACCTTCCTTTTGACAGAGCAGTTTTGATACACTCTTTTTGTAGAATCTGCAAGTGGATATTTGGATAGCTGTGAAGATTTCGTTGGAAACGGGAATATCTTCCTATAAAATTTAGACAGAAGCATTCTCAGAAACTGCTCTGTGATGTCTGCATTCAAGTCACAGAGTTGAACATTGCCTTTCATACAGCAGGTTTGAAATGCTCTTTTTGTAGTATATGGAAGTGGACTTTTCGGACGGTTTGAGGACCATGGTGATAAAGGGGAATCTTCCCCTACAAGCTAGAAAGAAGCATTCTGTTAAACTTGTTTGTGATGTGTGTACTCAACTAATAGATTTGAACCTTTCTTTTTACAGAGCAGTTTTGAAACACTCTTTTTGTAGAATCTGCGAGGGGATATTTGGATAGATTTCAGGATTTCGTTGGAAACGGGAATATCTTCATATAAAATCTCGAAAGAAGCATTCTCAGAAACTTCCTTGTGATATGTGCATTCAAGTCACAGAGTTGAATATTCCCTTTCACAGAGTAGGTTTGAAACACTCTTTTTGTAGTATCTGGAAGTCGACATTTGGAGCGCCTTGACACCTACGGTGAAAAGGGAAATATCTTCCCATAAAAACTAGACAGAAGCAATCTCAGAATCTTCTTTGGGATATATGCACGCAGCTAACAGAGTTGAACCTTTCTATTGACAGAGCAGTTTTGAAACAGTCTTTCTGTGGAATCTGTAAGTGGATATTTGGATAGCTTGGAGGATTTCGTTGGAAACGGGATTACGTATAAAAATTAGACAGCAGCATCCTCAGAAACTTCTTTGTGATGTGTGCATTCAAGTCACAGCAGTTGAACATTCCCTTTCGTACAGCAGTTTTGAAACACTCTTTCTGTAGTATCTGGAAGTGAACATTAGGACAGCTTTCAGGTCTAGGGTGAGAAAGGAAATACCTTCAAATAAAAACTAGACAGAAGCATTCTCATAAACTTGTTTGTGATGTGTTAACTCAGCTAACAGAGGTGGATCTTTCTTTTGATAGAGCAGTTCTGAAAAACACTTTTTGTTGAATCTGCAAGTGGACATTTGGATAGATTTGAAGATTTCTTTGGAAACGGGAATATCTTCATATCAAATCTAGACAGATAGGCATTCTCAGAAACGTCTTTGTGATGTTTGCATTCAACTCATAGAGTTGAACATTCCCTTTCAGAGAGCAGCTTTGAAGCACTCTTTTTGTAGTATGTGCAAGGGGATATTTGGAGCGCTCTGAGGCCTAAGGTGAAAAAGCAAATATCTTCCCATAACCACTAGACAGAAACATTCTCAGAAACTCCTTTATGACGTATGTACTCAACTAACAGAGAAGAACCTTCCTTTTGACAGAGCAGTTTTGATACACTCTTTTTGTAGAATCTGCAAGTGGATATTTGGATAGCTGTGAAGATTTCATTGGAAACGGGAATATCTTCCTATAAAATCCAGACAGAAGCATTCTCAGAAACTGCTCTGTGATGTCTGCATTCAAGTCACAGAGTTGAACATTGCCTTTCATAGAGTAGGTTTGAAACGCTCTTTTTGTAGTATATGGAAGTAGACGTTTCGGACGGTTTGAGGCCCATGGTGATAAAGGGAATATCTTCCCCTACAAGCTAGAAAGAAGCATTCTGTGAAACTTGTTTGTGATGTGTGTACTCAACTAACAGAGTTGGACCTTTCTTTTTACAGAGCAGTTTTGAAACACTCTTTTTGTAGAATCTGCGAGGGGATATTTGGATAGATTTCAGGATTTCGTTGGAAACGGGAATATCTTCATATAAAATCTCGACAGAAGCATTCTCAGAAACTTCCTTGTGATATGTGCATTCAAGTCACAGAGTTGAATATTCCCTTTCACAGAGTAGGTTTGAAACTCTCTTTTTGTAGTATCTGGAAGTGGTCATTTGGAGCGCCTTGACGCCTACGGTGAAAAGGGAAATATCTTCCCATCAAAACTAGACAGAAGCAATCTCAGAATCTTCTTTGGGATATATGCACGCAGCTAACAGAGTTGAACCATTCTATTGACAGAGCAGTTTTGAAACAGTCTTTCTGTGGAATCTGCAAGTGGATATTTGGATAGCTTGGAGGATTTCGTTGGAAACGGGATTACGTATAAAAAGTAGACAGCAGCATCCTCAGTAAACATCCTTGTGATGTGTGCATTCAAGTCACAGAGTTGAACATTCCCTTTCGTACAGCAGTTTTGAAACACTCTTTCTGTAGTATCTGGAAGTGAACTTTAGGACAGCTTTCAGGTCTATAGTTAGAAAGGATATATCTTCAAATAAAAACTAGACGGAAGCATTCTCATAAACTTGTTTGTGATGTGTGAACTCAGCTAACAGAGGTGGACCTTTCTTTTGATAGAGCAGTTCTGAAAAACACTTTTTGTTGAATCTGCAAGTGGACATTTGGATAGATTTGAAGATTTCGTTGGAAACGGGAATATCTTCATATCAAATCTAGACAGAAGCATTCTCAGAAACGTCTTTGCGATGTTTGCATTCAACTCATAGAGTTGAACACTCCGTTTCAGAGAGCAGCTTTGAGGCACTCTTTTTGTAGTATGTGCAAGTGGATATTTGGAGCGCTCTGAGGCCTACGGTGAAAGAGCAAATATCTTCCCATAACCACTAGACAGAAACATTCTCAGAAACTCCTCTTATGACGTATGTCATCTCAACTAACAGAGAAGAACCTTCCTTTTGACAGAGCAGTTTTGATACACTCTTTTTGTAGAATCTGCAAGTGGATATTTGGATAGCTGTGAAGATTTCGTTGGAAACGGGAATATCTTCCTATATAATCTAGACAGAAGCATTCTCAGAAACTGCTCTGTGATGTGTGCATTCAAGTCACAGAGTTGAACATTGACTTTCATAGAGCAGGTTAGAAACGCTCTTTTTGTACTATATGGAAGAGGACGTTTCGGACGGTTTGAGGACCATGGTGATAAAGGGAATATCTTCCCCTACAAGCTAGAAAGAAGCATTCTGTGATACTTGTTTGTGATGTGTGTACTCAACTAACAGAGTTGAACCTTTCTTTTTACAGAACAGTTTTGAAACACTCTTTTTGTAGAATCTGCGAGGGGATATTTGGATAGATTTCAGGATTTCGTTGGAAACGGGAATATCTTCATATAAAATCTCGACAGAAGCATTCTCAGAAACTTCTTTGTGATATGTGCATTCAAGTCACAGAGTTGAATATTCCCTTTCACAGAGTAGGTTTGAAACACTCTTTTTGTAATATCTGGAAGTGGACATTTGGAGCACCTTGACGCCTACGGTGAAAAGGGAAATATCTTCCCATAAAAACTAGACAGAAGCAATCTCAGAATCTTCTTTGGGATATATGCATGCAGCTAACAGAGTTGAACCTTTCTATTGACAGAGCAGTTTTGAAACAGTCTTTCTGTGGAATCTGCAAGTGGATATTTGGATAGCCTGGAGGATTTCGTTGGAAACGGGATTACGTATAAAAAGTAGACAGCAGCATCCTCAGAAACTTCTTTGTGATGTGTGCATTCAAGTCACAGAGTTGAACATTCCCTTTCGTACAGCAGTTGTGAAACACTCTTTCTGTAGTATCTGCAAGTGAACATTAGGACAGTTTTCAGGTCTATGGTGAGAAAGGAAATATCTTCAAATAAAAACTAGACAGAAGCATTCTCATAAACTTGTTTGTGATGTGTGAACTCAGCTAACAGAGGTGGATCTTTCTTTTGATAGAGCAGTTCTGAAAAACACTTTTTGTTGAATCTGCAAGTGGACATTTGGATAGATTTGAAGATTTCGTTGGTAACGGGAATATCTTCATATCAAATCTAGACAGAAGCATTCTCAGAAACGTCTTTGTCATGTTTGCATTCAACTCATAGAGTTGAACATTCCCTTTCAGAGAGCAGCTTTGAAACACTCTTTTTGTAGTATGTGCAAGTGGATATTTGGAGCGCTCTGAGGCCTACGGTGAAAAAGCAAATATCTTCCCATAACCACTAGACTGAAACATTCTCAGAAACTTCTTTATGACGTATGTACTGAACTAGCAGAGAAGAACTGTCCTCTTGACAGAGCATTTTTGATACACTCTTTTTGTAGTATCTGCAAGTGGATATTTGGATAGCTGTGAAGATTTCGTTGGAATCGGGAATATCTTCCTATAAAGTCCGGACAGAAGCATTCTCAGAAACTGCTCTGTGATGTCTGCATTCAAGTCACAGAGCTGAACATTGCCTTTCATAGAGCAGGTTTGAAACGCTCTTTTTGTAGTATATGGAAGTGGACGTTTCGGACGGTTTGAGGCCCATGGTGATAAAGGGAATATACTTCCCCTACAAGCTAGAAAGAAGCATTCTGTGAAAATTGTTTGTGATGTGTGTACTCAACTAACAGAGTTGAACCTTTCTTTTTACAGAGCAGTTTTGAAACACTCTTTTTGTAGAATCTGCGAGGGGATATTTGGATAGATTTCAGGATTTTGTTGGAAACCGGAATATCTTAATATAAAATCTCGACAGAAGCATTCTCAGAAACTTTCCTTGTGATATGTGCATTCAAGTCACAGAGTTGAATATTCCCTTTCACAGAGTAGGTTTGAAACACTCTTTTTGTAGTATCTGGAAGTGGTCATTTGGAGCGCCTTGACGCCTACGGTGAAAAGGGAAATATCTTCCCATAAAAACTAGACAGAAGCAATCTCAGAAACTTCTTTGGGATATTTGCACGCAGCTAACAGAGTTGAACCTTTCTATTGACAGAGCAGTTTTGAAACAGTCTTTCTGTGGAATCTGCAAGTGGATATTTGGATAGCTTGGAGGATTTCGTTGGAAACGGGATTACGTGTAAAAATTAGACAGCAGCATCCTCAGAAACTTCTTTGTGATGTGTGCATTCAAGTCACAGAGTTGAACATTCCCTTTCGTACAGCAGTTTTGAAACACTCTTTCTGTAGTAACTGGAAGTGAACATTAGGACAGCTTTCAGGTCTATGGTGAGAAAGGAAATATCTTCAAATAAAAACTAGACAGAAGCATTCTCATAAACTTGTTTGTGATGTGTGAACGCAGCTAACACACGTGGATCTTTCTTTTGATAGAGCAGTTCTGAAAAACACTTTTTGTTGAATCTGCAAGTGGACATTTGGATAGATTTGAAGATTTCTTTGGAAACGGGAATATCTTCATATCAAATCTAGACAGAAGCATTCTCAGAAACGTCTTTGTGATGGTAGCATTCAGCTCATACAGTTGAACATTCCCTTTCAGAGAGCAGCTTTGAAGCACTCTTTTTGTAGTATGTGCAAGTGGACATTTGGAGCGCTTTGAGGTCTACGGGGAAAAAGCAAATATCTTCCCATATCCCCTAGACAGGAACATTCTCAGAAACTCCTTTATGACGTATGTACTCAACTAACGGAGAAGAACCTTCCTTTTGACAGAGCAGTTTTGATACACTCTTTTTGTAGAATCTGCAAGTGGATATTTGGATAGCTGTGAAGATTTCGTTGGAAACGGGAATATCTTCCTATAAAATCTAGACAGAAGCATTCTCAGAAACTGCTCTGTGATGTCTGCATTCAAGTCACAGAGTTGAACATTGCCTTTCCTAGAGCAGGTTTGAAACGCTCTTTGTGTAGTATATGGAAGTGGACGTTTCGGACGGTTTGAGGCCCATGGTGATAAAGGGAATATCTTCCCCTACAAGCTAGAAAGAAGCATTCTCATCAACTTGTTTGTGATGTGTGAACTCAGCTAACAGAGGTGGATCTTTCTTTTGATAGAGCAGTTCTGAAAAACACTTTTTGTTGAATCTGCAAGTGGACATTTGGATAGATTTGAAGATTTCGTTGGAAACGGGAATATCTTCATATAAAATCTCGACAGAAGCATTCTCAGAAACTTCCTTGTGATATGTGCATTCAAGTCACAGAGTTGAATATTCCCTTTCACAGAGTAGGTTTGAAACACTCTTTTTGTAGTATCTGGAAGTGGACATTTGGAGCGCCTTGACACCTACGGTGAAAAGGGAAATATCTTCCCATCAAAACTAGACAGAAGCTATCTCAGAATCTTCTTTGGGATATATGCACGTAGCTAACAGAGTTGAACCTTTCTTTTGACAGAGCAGTTTTGAAACAGTCTTTCTGTGGAATCTGCAAGTGGATATTTGGATAGCTTGGAGGATTTCGTTGGAAACGGGATTATGTATAAAAAGTAGACAGCAGCATCCTCAGAAACTTCTTTGTGATGTGTGCATTCAAGTCACAGAGTTGAACATTCCCTTTCGTACAGCAGTTTTGAAACACTCTTTCTGTAGTATCTGGAAGTGAACATTAGGACAGCTTTCAGCTCCTATGGTGAGAAAGGAAATATCTTCAAATAAAAACTAGACAGAAGCATTCTCATAAACTTGTTTGTGATGTGTGAACTCAGCTAACAGACGTGGATCTTTCTTTTGATACAGCAGTTTTGAAAAACACTTTTTGTTGAATCTGCAAGTGGACATTTGGATAGATTTGAAGATTTCCTTGGAAACGGGAATATCTTCATATCAAATCTAGACAGAAGCATTCTTGGAAACGTCTTTGTGATGTTTGCATTCAACTCATAGAGTTGAACATTCCGTTTCAGAGAGCAGCTTTGAAGCACTCTTTTTGTAGTATGTGCAAGTGGATATTTGGAGCGCTCTGAGGCCTACGGTGAAAAAGCAAATATCTTCCCATAACCACTACACAGAAACATTCTCAGAAACTCCTTTATGACGTATGCACTCACCTAACAGAGAAGAACCTTCCTTTTGACAGACCACTTTTGATACACTCTTTTTGTAGAATCTGAAAGTGGATATTTGGATAGCTGTGAAGATTTCGTTGGAAACGGGAATATCTTCCTATAAAATCTAGACAGAAGCATTCTCAGAAACTGCTCTGTGATGTCTGCATTCAAGTCACAGAGTTCAACATTGCCTTTCATAGAGCAGGTTTGAAACGCTCTTTTTGTAGTATATGGAAGTGGATGTTTCGGACGGTTGGAGTCCCATGGTGATAAAGGGAATATCTTCCCCTACAAGCTAGAAAGAAGCATTCTGTGAAACTTGTTTGTGATGTGTGTACTCAACTAACAGAGTTGAACCTTTCTTTTCACAGAGCAGTTTTGAAACACTCTTTTTGTAGAATCTGCGAGCGGATATTTGGATAGATTTCAGGATTTCGTTGGAAACGGGAATATCTTCATATAAAATCTCGACAGAAGCATTCTCAGAAGCTTCGTTGTGATATGTGCATTCAAGTCACAGAGTTGAATATTCCCTTACACAGAGTAGGTTTGAAACACACTTTTTGTAGTATCTGGAAGTGGACTTTTGGAGCGCCTTGATGCCTACGGTGAAAAGGGAAATATCTTCTCATAAAAAGTAGACAGAAAGCAATCTCAGAAATCTTCTTTGGGATATATGCACGCAGCTAACAGAGTTGAACCTTTCTATTGACAGAGCAGTTTTGAAACAGTCTTTCTGTGGAATCTGCAAGTGGATATTTGGATAGCTTGGAGGATTTCGTTGGAAACGGGATTAAGTATAAAAAGTAGACAGCAGCATCCTCAGAAACATCCTTGTGATGTGTGCATTCAAGTCACAGAGTTGAACATTCCCTTTCCTACAGCAGTTTTGAAACACTCTTTCTGTAGTATCTGGAAGTGAACTTTAGGAGAGCTTTCAGGTCTATAGTGAGAAAGGATATATCTTCAAATAAAAGCTAGACAGAAGCATTCTGATAAACTTGTTTGTGAAGTGTGATCTCAGCTAACAGAGGTGGATCTTTCTTTTGATAGAGCAGTTCTGAAAAACACTTTGTTGAATCTGCAAGTGGACATTTGGATAGATTTGAAGATTTCTTTGGAAACGGGAATATCTTCATATCAAATCTAGACAGAAAGCATTCTCAGAAACGTCTTTGTCATGTTTGCATTCAACTCATAGAGTTGAACATTCCCTTTCAGAGAGCAGCTTTGAAACACTCTTTTTGTAGTATGTGCAAGTGGATATTTGGAGCGCTCTGAGGCCTACGGTGAAAAAGCAAATATCTTCCCATAACCACTAGACAGAAACATTCTCAGAAACTCCTTTATGACGTATGCACTCACCTAACAGAGAAGAACCTTCCTTTTGACAGAGCAGTTTTGATACACTCTTTTTGTAGAATCTGCAAGTGGATATTTGGATAGCTGTGAAGATTTCGTTGGAAACGGGAATATCTTCCTATAAAATCTATACAGAAGGATTCTCAGAAACTGCTCTGTGATGTCTGCATTCAAGTCACAGAGTTGAACATTGCCTTTCATAGAGCAGGTTTGAAACGCTCTTTTTGTAGTATATGGAAGTGGACTTTTCGGACGGTTTGAGGCCCATGGTGATAAAGGGAATATCTTCCCCTACAAGCTAGAAAGAAGCATTCTCTGAAACTTGTTTGTGATGTGTGTACTCAACTAACAGAGTTGAACCTTTCTTTTTACAGAGCACTTTTGAAACACTCTTTTTGTAGAATCTGCGAGGGGATATTTGGATAGATTTCAGGATTTCGTTGGAAACGGGAATATCTTCATATAAAATCTCGACAGAAGCATTCTCAGAAACTTCTTTGTGATATGTGTATTCAAGTCACAGAGTTGAATATTCGCTTTCATAGAGTAGGTTTGAAACACTCTTTTTGTAGTATCTGGAAGTGGATATTTGGAGCGCCTTGACGCCTACGGTGAAAAGGGAAATATCTTCCCATAAAAACTAGACAGAAGCAATCTCAGAATCTTCTTTGGGATATATGTACGCAGCTAATAGAGTTGAACCTTTCTATTGACAGAGCAGTTTTGAAACAGTCTTTCTGTGGAATCTGCAAGTGGATATTTGGATAGCTTGGAGGATTTCGTTGGAAACGGGATTACGGTATAAAAAGTAGACAGCAGCATCCTCAGAAACTTCCTTGTGATGTGTGCATTCAAGTCACAGAGTTGAACATTCCCTTTCGTACAGCATTTTTGAAACACTCTTTCTGTAGTATCTGGAAGTGAACTTTATGAGAGCTTTCAGGTCTATAGTGAGAAAGGATATATCTTCAAATAAAAACTAGACAGAAGCATTCTCATAAACTTGTTTGTGATGTGTGAACTCAGCTAACAGAGGTGGATCTTTCTTTTGATAGAGCAGTTCTGAAAAACACGTTTTGTTGAATCTGCAAGTGGACATTTGGATAGATTTGAAGATGTCATTGGAAACGGGAATATCTTCATATCAAATCTAGACAGAAGCATTCTCAGAAACGTCTTTGTGATGTTTGCATTCAACTCATAGAGTTGAACATTCCGTTTCAGAGACCAGCTTTGAAGCACTCTTTTTGTAGTATGTGCAAGTGGATATTTGGAGCGCTCTGAGGCCTACGGTGAAAAAGCAAATATCTTCCCATAACCACTAGACAGAAAACATTCTCAGTAAACTCCTTTATGACGTATGCACTCACCTAACAGAGGAAGAACCTTCCTTTTGACAGAGCAGTTTTGATACACTCTTTTTGTAGAATCTGCAAGTGGATATTTGGATAGCTGTGAATATTTCGTTGGAAACGGGAATATCTTCCTATAAAATCTAGACAGAAGCATTCTCAGAAACTACTCTGTGATGTCTGCATTCAAGTCACAGAGTTGAACATTGCCTTTCCTAGAGCAGGTTTGAAACGCTCTTTTTGTAGTATATGGAAGTGGACGTTTCGGACGGTTTGAGGACCATGGTGATAAAGGGAATATCTTCCCCTACAAGCTAGAAAGAAGCATTCTGTGAAACTTGTTTGTGAGGTGTGTACTCAACTAACAGAGTTGAACCTTTCTTTTTACAGAGCAGTTTTGAAACACTCTTTTTGTAGAATCTGCGAGGGGATATTTGGATAGATTTCAGGATTTCGTTGGAAAGGGGAATATCTTCATATAAAATTCTCGACAGAAGCATTCTCAGAAACTTCTTTGTGATATGTGCATTCAAGTCACAGAGTTGAATATTCCCTTTCACAGAGTAGGTTTGAAACACTCTTTTTGTAGTATCTGGAAGTGGACATTTGGAGCGCCTTGACAACTACGGTGAAAAGGGAAATATCTTCCCATAAAAACTAGACAGAAGCAATCTCAGAATCTTCTTTGGGATATATGCACGCAGCTAACAGAGTTGAACCTTTCTATTGACAGAGCAGTTTTGAAACAGTCTTTCTGTGGAATCTGCAAGTGGATATTTGGATAGCTTGGAGGATTTCGTTGGAAACGGGATTACGTATAAAAAGTAGCCAGCAGCATCCTCAGAAACTTCTTTGTGATGTGTGCATTCAAGTCACAGAGTTGAACATTCCCTTTCGTACAGCAGTTTTGAAACACTCTTTCTGTAGTATCTGGAAGTGAACATTAGGACAGCTTTCAGGTGTATGGTGAGAAAGGAAATATCTTCAAATAAAAACTAGACAGAAGCATTCTCATAAACTTGTTTGTGATGTGTGAACTCAGCTAACACACGTGGATCTTTCTTTTGATAGAGCAGTTCTGAAAAACACTTTTTGTTGAATCTGCAAGAGGACATTTGGATAGATTTGAAGATTTCGTTGGAAACGGGAATATCTTCATATCAAATCTAGACAGAAGCATTCTCAGAAACGTCGTTGTGATGTTTGCATTCAACTCATAGAGTTGAACATTCCCTTTCAGAGAGCAGCTTTGAAGCACTCTTTTTGTAGTATGTGCAAGTGGACATTTGGAGCGCTTTGAGGCGTACGGGGAAAAAGCAAATATCTTCCCATAACCACCAGACAGAAACATTCTCAGAAACTCCTTTATGACGTATGCACTCACCTAACAGAGAAGAACCTGCCTTTTGACAGAGCAGTTTTGATACACTCTTTTTGTAGAATCTGCAAGTGGATATTTGGATAGCTGTGAAGATTTCGTTGGAAACGGGAATATCTTCCTATAAAATCTAGACAGAAGCATTCTCAGAAACTGCTCTGTGATGTCTGCATTCAAGTCACAGAGTTGAACGTTGCCTTTCATAGAGCAGGTTTGAAACACTCTTTTTGTAGTATATGGAAGTGGACGTTTCGGACGGTTTGAGGCCCATGGTGATAAAGGGAATATCTTCCCCTACAAGCTAGAAAGAAGCATTCTGTGAAACTTGTTTGTGATGTGTGTACTCAACTAACAGAGTTGAACCTTTCTTTTTACAGAGCAGTTTTGAAACACTCTTTTTGTAGAATCTGCGAGGGGATATTTGGATAGATTTCAGGATTTCGTTGGAAAAGGGAATATCTTCATATAAAATCTCGACAGAAGCATTCTCAGAAACTTCTTTGTGATATGTGCATTCAAGTCACAGAGTTGAATATTCCCTTTCACAGAGTAGGTTTGAAACACTCTTTTTGTAGTATCTGGAAGTGGACATTTGGAGCGCGTTGACACCTATGGTGAAAAGGGAAATATCTTCCCATAAAAACTAGACAGAAGCAATCTCAGAATCTTCTTTGGGATATATGCACGCAGCTAACAGAGTTGAACCTTTCTATTGACAGAGCAGTTTTGAAACAGTCTTTCTGTGGAATCTGCAAGTGGATATTTGGATAGCTTGGAGGATTTCGTTAGAAACGGGATTACGTATAAAAAGTAGAAAGCAGCATCCTCAGAAACTTCTTTGTGATGTGTGCATTCAAGTCACAGAGTTGAACATTCCCTTTCGTACAGCAGTTTTGAAACACTCTTTCTGTAGTATCTGGAAGTGAACATTAGGAAAGCTTTCAGGTCTATGGTGAGAAAGGAAATATCTTCAAATAAAAACTAGACAGAAGCATTCTCATAAACTTGTTTGTGATGTGTGAACTCAGCTAACAGACGTGGATCTTTCTTTTGATACAGCAGTTTTGAAAAACACTTTTTGTTGAATCTGCAAGTGGACATTTGGATAGATTTGAAGATTTCGTTGGAACCGGGAATATCTTCATATCAAATCTAGACAGAAGCATTCTCAGAAACGTCTTTGTGATGTTTGCATTCAACTCATAGAGTTGAACATTCCCTTTCAGAGAGCAGCTTTGAAGCACTCTTTTTGTAGTATGTGCAAGGGGATATTTGGAGCGCTCTGAGGCCTACGGTGAAAAAGCAAATATCTTCCCATAACCACTAGACAGAAACATTCTCAGAAACTCCTTTATGACGTATGCACTCACCTAACAGAGAAGAACCTTCCTTTTGACAGAGCAGTTTTGATACACTCTTTTTGTAGAATCTGCAAGTGGATATTTGGATAGCTGTGAAGGTTTCTTTGGAAACGGAAATATCTTCCTATAAAATCTAGACAGAAGCATTCTCAAAACTGCTCTGTGATGTCTGCATTCAAGTCACAGAGTTGAACATTGCCTTTCATAGAGCAGGTTTGAAACGCTCTTTTTGTAGTATATGGAAGTAAACGTTTCGGACGGTTTGAGGCCCATGGTGATAAAGGGAATATCTTCCCCTACAAGCTAGAAAGAAGCATTCTGTGAAACTTGTTTGTGATGTGTGTACTCAACTAACAGAGTTGAACCTTTCTTTTTACAGGAGCAGTTTTGAAACACTCTTTTTGTAGAATCTGCGAGGGGATATTTGGATACATTTCAGGATTTCGTTGGAAACGGGAATATCTTCATATAAAATCTCGACAGAAGCATTCTCAGAAACTTCTTTGTGGTATGTGCATTCAAGTCACAGAGTTGAATATTCCCTTTCACAGAGTATGTTTGAAACACTCTTTTTGTAGTATCTGGAAGTGGACATTTGGAGCGCCTTGACGCCTACGGTGAAAAGGGAAATATCTTCCCATAAAAACTAGACAGAAGCAATCTCAGAATCTTCTTTGTGATATATGCACGCAGCTAACAGAGTTGAACCTTTCTATTGACTGAGCAGATTTGAAACAGTCTTTCTGTGGAATCTGCAAGTGGATATTTGGATAGATTGGAGGATTTCGTTGGAAACGGGATTACGTATAAAAAGTAGACAGCAGCATCCTCAGAAACTTCTTTGTGATGTGTGCATTCAAGTCACAGAGTTGAACATTCCCTTTCGTACAGCAGTTTTGAAACACTCTTTCTGTAGTATCTGGAAGTGAACATTAGGACAGCTTTCAGCTCTACGGTGAGAAAGGAAATATCTTCAAATAAAAACTAGACAGAAGCATTCTCATAAACTTGTTTGTGATGTGTGAACTCAGTTAACAGAGGTGGATCTTTCTTTTGATAGAGCAGTTCTGAAAAACACTTTTTGTTGAATCTGCAAGTGGACATTTGGATAGATTTCAAGATTTCGTTGGAAACGGGAATATCTTCATATCAAATCTAGACAGAAGCATTCTCAGAAACGTCTTTGTGATGTTAGCATTCAACTCATAGAGTTGAACATTCCCTTTCAGAGAGCAGCTTTGAAGCACTCTTTTTGTTGTATGTGCAAGTGGATATTTGGAGCGCTCTGAGGCCTATGGTGAAAAAGCAAATATCTTCCCATAACCACTAGACAGAAACATTCTCAGAAACTCCTTTATGACGTATGCACTCACCTAACAGAGAAGAACCTTCCTTTTGACAGAGCAGTTTTGATACACTCTTTTTGTAGAATATGCAAGTGGATATTTGGATAGCTGTGAAGATTTCGTTGGAAACGGGAATATCTTCCTATAAATTCTAGACAGAAGCATTCTCAGAAACTGCTCTGTGATGTCTGCATTCAAGTCACAGAGTTGAACATTGCCTTTCATAGAGCAGGTTTGAAACGCTCTTTTTGTAGTATATGGAAGTGGATGTTTCTGACGGTTGGAGGCCCATGGTGATAAAGGGAATATCTTCCCCTACAAGCTAGAAAGAAGCATTCTGTGAAACTTGTTTGTGATGTGTGTACTCAACTAACAGAGTTGAACCTTTCTTTTCACAGAACAGTTTTGAAACACTCTTTTTGTAGAATCTGCGAGCGGATATTTGGATAGATTTCAGGATTTCGTTGGAAACGGGAATATCTTCATATAAAATCTCGACAGAAGCATTCTCAGAAACTTCTTTGTGATATCTCCATTCAAGTCACAGAGTTGAATATTCCCTTTCACAGAGTAGGATTGAAACACTCTTTTTGTAGTATCTGGAAGTGGACATTTGGAGCGCCTTGACACCTATGGTGAAAAGGGAAATATCTTCCCATAAAAACTAGACAGAAGCAATCTCAGAATCTTCTTTGGGATATATGCACGCAGCTAACAGAGTTGAACCTTTCTATTGACAGACCAGTTTTGAAACAGTCTTTCTGTGGAATCTGCAAGTGGATATTTGGATAGCTTGGAGGATTTCGTTGGAAACGGGATTACGTATAAAAAGTAGACAGCAGCATCCTCAGAAACTTCTTTGTGATGTGTGCATTCAAGTCACAGAGTTGAACATTCCCTTTCGTACAGCAGTTTTGAAACACTCTTTCTGTAGTATCTGGAAGTGAATATTAGGACAGCTTTCACGTCTATATTGAGAAAGGAAATATCTTCAAATAAAAACTAGACAGAAGCATTCTCATAAACTTGTTTGTGATGTGTGAACTCAGCTAACAGAGTTGGATCTTTCTTTTGATAGAGCAGTTCTGAAAAACACTTTTTGTTGAATCTGCAAGTGGACATTTGGATAGATTTGAAGATTTCGTTGGAAACGGGAATATCTTCATATCAAATCTAGACAGAAGCATTCTCAGAAACGTCTTTGCGATGTTTGCATTCAACTCATAGAGTTGAACATTCCGTTTCAGAGAGCAGCCTTGAGGCACTCTTTTTGTAGTATGTGCAAGTGGATATTTGGAGCGCTCCTGAGGCCTACGGTGAAAAAGCAAATATCTTCCCATAACCACTAGACAGAAACATTCTCAGAAACTCCTTTATGACGTATGCACTCACCTAACAGAGAAGAACCTTCCTTTTGACAGAGCAGTTTTGATACACTCTTTTTGTAGAATCTGCAAGTGGATATTTGGATAGCTGTGAAGATTTTGTTGGAAACGGGAATATCTTCCTATAAAATCTAGACAGAAGCATTCTCAGAAACTGCTCTGTGATGTCTGCATTCAAGTCACAGAGCTGAACATTGCCTTTCATAGAGAAGGTTTGAAACGCTCTTTTTGTAGTATATGGAAGTGGACGTTTCGGACAGTTTGAGGCCCATGGTGATAAAGGGAATATCTTCCCCTACAAGCTAGAAAGAAGCATTCTGTGAAACTTGTTTGTGATGTGTGTACTCAACTAACAGAGTTGAACCTTTCTTTTTACAGAGCAGTATTGAAACACTCTTTTTGAAGAATCTGCGAGGGGATATTTGAATAGATTTCAGGATTTCGTTGGAAACGGGAATATCTTCATATAAAATCTCGACAGAAGCATTCTCAGAAACTTCTTTGTGATATGTGCATTCAAGTCACAGAGTTGAATATTCCCTTTCACAGAGTAGGTTTGAAACACTCTTTTTGTAGTATCTGGAAGTGGACATTTGGAGCGCCTTGACGCCTAGGGTGAAAAGGGAAATATCTTCCCATAAAAACTAGACAGAAGCAATCTCAGAATCTTCTTTGGGATATATGCACGCAGCTAACAGAGTTGAACCTTTCTATTGACAGAGCAGTTTTGAAACAGTCTTTCTGTGGAATCTGCAAGTGGATATTTGGATAGCTTGGAGGATTTTTTTGGAAACGGGATTACGTATAAAAAGTAGACAGCAGCATCCTCAGAAACTTCTTTGTGATGTGTGCATTCAAGTCACAGAGTTGAACATTCCCTTTCGTACAGCAGTTTTGAAACACTCTTTCTGTAGTATCTGGAAGTGAACATTAGGACAGCTTTCAGGTCTATGGTAAGAAAGGAAATATCTTCAAATAAAAACTAGACAGAAGCATTCTCATAAACTTGTTTGTGATGTGTGAACTCAGCTAACAACGGTGGATCTTTCTTTTGATAGAGCAGTTCTGAAAAACACTTTTTGTTGAATCTGCAAGTGGACATTTGGATAGTTTTGAAGATTTCGTTGGAAACGGGAATATCTTCATATCAAATCTAGACAGAAGCATTCTCAGAAACGTCTTTGTGATGTTTGCATTCAACTCATAGAGTTGAACATTCCATTTCAGAGAGCAGCTTTGAGGCACTCTTTTTGTAGTATGTGCAAGTGGATATTTGGAGTGCTCTGAGGCCTACGGTGAAAAAGCAAATATCTTCCCATAACCACTAGACAGAAACATTCTCAGAAACTCCTTTATGACGTATGCACTCACCTAACAGAGAAGAACCTTCCTTTTGACAGAGCAGTTTTGATACACTCTTTTTGTAGAATCTGCAAGTGGATATTTTGATACCTGTGAAGATTTCGTTGGAAACGGGAATATCTTCCTATAAAATGCTAGACAGAAGCATTCTCAGAAACTGCTCTGTGATGTCTGCATTCAAGTCACAGAGTTGAACATTGCTTTTCATAGAGCAGGTTTGAAACGCTCTTTTTGTAGTATATGGAAGTGGATGTTTCGGACGGTTGGAGGCCCATGGTGATAAAGGGAATATCTTCCCCTACAAGCTAGAAAGAAGCATTCTGTGAAACTTGTTTGTGATGTGTGTACTCAACTAAGAAGGTTGAACCTTTCTTTTTACAGAGCAGTTTTGAAACACTCTTTTTGTAGAATCTGCGAGGGGATATTTGGATAGATTTCAGGATTTCGTTGGAAACGGGAATATCTTCATATAAAATCTCGACAGAAGCATTCTCAGAAACTTCTTTGTGATATCTGCATTCAAGTCACAGAGTTGAATATTCCCTTTCACAGAGTAGGTTTGAAACACTCTTTTTGTAGTATCTGGAAGTGGACATTTGGAGCGCCTTGACACCTACGGTGAAAAGGGAAATATCTTCCCATAAAAACTAGACAGAAGCAATCTCAGAATCTTCTTTGGGATATATGCACGCAGCTAACAGAGTTGAACCTTTCTTATTGACAGAGCAGTTTTGAAACAGTCTTTCTGTGGAATCTGCAAGTGGATATTTGGATAGCTTGGAGGATTTCGTTGGAAACGGGATTACGTATAAAAAGTAGACAGCAGCATCCTCAGAAACTTCTTTGTGATGTGTGCATTCAAGTCACAGAGTTGAACATTCCCTTTCGTACAGCAGTTTTCAAACACTCTTTCTGTAGTAACTGGAAGTGAACATTAGGACAGCTTTCAGGTCTATGGTGAGAAAGGAAATATCTTCAAATAAAAACTAGACAAAAGCATTCTCATAAACTTGTTTGTGATGTGTGAACTCAGCTAACAGAGGTGGATCTTTCTTTTGATAGAGCAGTTCTGAAAAACACTTTTTGTTGAATCTGCAAGTGGACATTTGGATAGATTTGAAGATTTCGTTGGAAACTGGAATATCTTCATATCAAATTTTGACAGAAGCATTCTCAGAAACGTCTTTGGGATGTTTGCATTCAACTCATAGAGTTGAACATTCCGTTTCAGAGAGCAGCTTTGAGGCACACTTTTTGTAGTATGTGCAAGTGGATATTTGGAGCGCTCTGAGGCCTACGGTGAAAAAGCAAATATCTTCCCATAACCACTAGACAGAAACATTCTCAGAAACTCCTTTATGACGTATGCACTCACCTAACATAGAAGAACCTTCCTTTTGACAGAGCAGTTTTGATACACTCTTTTTGTAGAATCTGCAAGTGGATATTTGGATAGCTGTGAAGATTTCGTTGGAAACAGGAATATCTTCCTATAAAATCTAGACAGAAGCATTCTCAGAAACTGCTCTGTGATGTCTGCATTCAAGTCACAGAGTTGAACATTGCCTTTCATAGAGCAGGTTTGAAATGCTCTTTTTGTAGTATATGGAAGTGGACGTTTCAGACGGTTTGAGGCCCATGGTGATAAAGGGAATATCTTCCCCTACAAGCTAGAAAGAAGCATTCTGTGAAACTTGTTTGTGATGTGTGTACTCAACTAACAGAGTTGAACCTTTCTTTTTACAGAGCAGTTTTGAAACACTCTTTTTGTAGAATCTGCGAGGGCATATTTGGATAGATTTCAGGATTTCGTTGGAAAGGGGAATATCTTCATATAAAATCTCGACAGAAGCATTCTCAGAAACTTCTTTGTGATATCTGCCTTCAAGTCACAGAGTTGAATATTCCCTTTCACACAGTAGGTTTGAAAC
Source organism: Homo sapiens (assembly GCF_000001405.40). Taxonomy (NCBI): domain Eukaryota; kingdom Metazoa; phylum Chordata; class Mammalia; order Primates; family Hominidae; genus Homo; species Homo sapiens. The sequence continues at coordinate 17,472,570 of NC_000014.9, forward strand.
ACTCTTTTTGTAGTATCTGGAAGTGGACATTTGGAGCGCCTTGACGCCTACGGTGAAAAGGGAAATATCTTCCCATAAAAACTAGACAGAAGCAATCTCAGAATTTTCTTTGGGATATATGCACACAGCTAACAGAGTTGAACTTTTCTATTGACATAGCAGTTTTGAAACAGTCTTTCTGTGGAATCTGCAAGTGGATATTTGGATAGCTTGGAGGATTTCGTTGGAAACAGGATTACGTATAAAAAGTAGACAGCAGCATCCTCAGAAACTTCTTTGTGATGTGTGCATTCAAGTCACAGAGTTGAACATTCCCTTTCGTACAGCAGTTTTGAAATACTCTTTCTGTAGTAACTGGAAGTGAACATTAGGACAGCTTTCAGGTCTATGGTGAGAAAGGAAATATCTTCAAATAAAAACTAGACAGAAGCATTCTCATAAACTTGTTTGTGATGTGTGAACTCAGCTAACAGAGGTGGATCTTTCCTTTGATAGAGCAGTTCTGAAAAACACTTTTTGTTGAATCTGCAAGTGGACATTTGGATAGATTTGAAGATTTCGTTGGAAACGGGAATATCTTCATATCAAATCTAGACAGAAGCATTCTCAGAAACGTCTTTGTGATGTTTGCATTCAACTCACAGAGTTGAACATTCCCTTTCAGAGCGCAGCTTTGAAGCACTCTTTTTGTAGTATGTGCAAGGGGATATTTGGAGCGCTCTGAGGCCTACGGTGAAAAAGCAAATATCTTCCCATAACCACTAGACAGAAACATTCTCAGAAACTCCTTTATGACGTATGTACTCAACTAACAGAGAAGAACCCTCTTTTTGACAGAGCAGTTTTGATACACTCTTTTTGTAGAATCTGCAAGTGGATATTTGGATAGCTGTGAAGATTTCGTTGGAAACGGGAATATCTTCCTATAAAATCTAGACAGAAGCATTCTCAGAAACTGCTCTGTGATGTCTGCATTCAAGTCACAGAGTTGAACATTGCCTTTCATAGAGCAGGTTTGAAACGCTCTTTTTGTACTATATGGAAGAGGACGTTTCGAACGGTTTGAGGACCATGGTGATAAAGGGAATATCTTCCCCTACAAGCTAGAAAGAAGCATTCTGTGAAACTTGTTTGTGATGTGTGTACTCAACTAACAGAGTTGAACCTTTCTTTTCACAGAGCAGTTTTGAAACACTCTTTTTGTAGAATCTGCGAGGGGATATTTGGATACATTTCAGGATTTCGTTGGAAACGGGAATATCTTCATATAAAATCTCGACAGAAGCATTCTCAGAAACTTCTTTGTGATATCTGCATTACAGTCACAGAGTTGAATATTCCCTTTCACAGAGGAGGTTTGAAACACTCTTTTTATACTATCTGGAATTGGACATTGGAGCGCCTTGACGCCTACGGTGAAAAGGGAAATATCTTCCCATAAAAACTAGACAGAAGCAATCTCAGAATCTTCTTTGGGATATATGCACGCAGCTAACATAGTTGAACCTTTCTATTGACAGAACAGTTTTGAAACAGTGTTTCTGTGGAATCTGCAAGTGGATATTTGGATAGCTTGGAGGATTTCGTTGGAAACGGGATTACGTATAAAAAGTAGACAGCAGCATCCTCAGAAACTTCTTTGTGATGTGTGCATTCAAGTCACAGAGTTGAACATTCCCTTTCGTACAGCAGTTTTGAAACACTCTTTCTGTAGTATCTGGAAGTGAACATTAGGACAGCTTTCACTCTATGGTGAGAAGGGAAATATCTTCAAATAAAAACTAGACAGAAGCATTCTCAAAAACTTGTTTGTGAAGTGTGAACTCAGGTAACAGAGGTGGATCTTTATTTTGATAGAGCAGTTCTGAAAAACACTTTTTGTTGAATCTGCAAGTGGACATTTGGATAGATTTGAAGATTTCGTTGGAAACGGGAATATCTTCATATCAAATCTAGACAGAAGCATTCTCAGTAAACGTCTTTGTGATGTTTGCATTCAACTCATAGAGTTGAACATTCCGTTTCAGAGAGCAGCTTTGAAGCACTCTTTTTGTAGTATGTTCAAGTGGATATTTGGAGCGCTCTGAGGCCTACGGTGAAAAAGCAAATATCTTCCCATAACCACTAGACAGAAACATTCTCAGAAACTCCTTTATGATGTATGCACTCACCTAACAGAGAAGAACCTTCCTTTTGACAGAGTAGTTTTGATACACTCTTTTTGTAGAATCTGCAAGTGGATATTTGGATAGCTGTGAAGATTTCGTTGGAAACAGGGAATATCTTCCTATAAAATCTAGACAGAAGCATTCTCAGAAACTGCTCTGTGATGTCTGCATTCAAGTCACAGAGTTGAACATTGCCTTTCATAGAGCAGGTTTGAAACGCTCTTTTTGTACTATATGGAAGTGGACGTTTCGGACGGTTTGAGGCCCATGGTGATAAAGGGAATATCTTCCCCTACAAGCTAGAAAGAAGCATTCTGTGAAACTTGTTTGTGAAGTGTGTACTCAACTAACAGAGTTGAACCTTTCTTTTTACAGAGCAGTTTTGAAACACTCTTTTTGTAGAATCTGCGAGGGGATATTTGGATAGATTTCAGGATTTCGTTGGAAACGGGAATATCTTCATATAAAATCTCGACAGAAGCATTCTCAGAAACTTCTTTGTGATATGTGCATTCAAGTCACAAAGTTGAATATTCCCTTTCACAGAGTAGGTTTGAAACACTCTTTTTGTAGTATCTGGAAGTGGACATTTGGAGCGCCTTGACGCCTACGGTGAAAAGGGAAATATCTTCCCATAAAAACTAGACAGAAGCAATCTCAGAATCTTCTTTGGGATATATGCACGCAGCTAACAGAGTTGAACCTTTCTATAGACACAGCAGTTTTGAAACAGTCTTTCTGTGGAATCTGCAAGTGGATATTTGGATAGATTGGAGGATTTCGTTGGAAACGGGATTACGTATAAAAAGTAGACAGCAGCATCCTCAGAAACTTCTTTGTGATGTGTGCATTCAAGTCACAGAGTTGAACATTCCCTTTCGTACAGCAGTTTTGAAACACTCTTTCTGTAGTATCTGGAAGTGAACATTAGGACAGCTTACAGGTCTATGGTGAGAAAGGGAATATCTTCAAATAAAAACTAGACAGAAGCATTCTCATAAACTTGTTTGTGATGTGTGAGCTCAGCTAACAGAGGTGGATCTTTCTTTTGATAGAGCAGTTCTGAAAAACACATTTTGTTGAATCTGCAAATGGACATTTGTATAGATTTGAAGATTTCGTTGGAAACGGGAATATCTTCATATCAAATCTAGACAGAGGCATTCTCAGAAACGTCTTTGTGATGTTTGCATTCAACTCATAGAGTTGAACATTCCCTTTCAGAGAGCAGCTTTGAAGCACTCTTTTTGTAGTATGTGCAAGGGGATATTTGGAGCGCTCTGAGGCCTAAGGTGAAAAAGCAAATATCTTCCCATAACCACTAGACAGAAACATTTTCAGAAACTCCTTTATGACGTATGTACTCAACTAACAGAGAAGAACCTTCCTTTTGACAGAGCAGTTTTGATACACTCTTTTTGTAGGATCTGCAAGTGGATATTTGGATAGCTGTGAAGATTTCGTTGGAAACGGGAATATCTTCCTATAAAATCTAGACAGAAGCATTCTCCGAAACTGCTCTGTGATGTCTGCATTCAAGTCACAGAGTTGAACATTGCCTTTCATAGAGCAGGTTTGAAACGCTCTTTTTGTAGTATATGGAAGTGGACATTTCGGACGGTTTGAGGCCCATGGTGATAAAGGGAATATCTTCCCCTACAAGCTAGAAAGAAACATTCTCAGAAACTCCTTTATGACGTATGCACTCACCTAACAGAGAAGAACCTACCTTTTGACAGAGCAGTTTTCATACACTCTTTTTGTAGAATCTGCGAGGGGATATTTGGAGAGATTTCAGGATTTCGTTGGAAACGGGAATATCTTCATATAAAATCTCGACAGAAGCATTCTCAGAAACTTCTTTGTGATATCTGCATTCAAGTCACAGAGTTGAATATTCCCTTTCACAGAGTAGGTTTGAAACACTCTTTTTGTAGTATCTGGAAGTGGACATTTGGAGCGACTTGACGCCTACGGTGAAAAGGGAAATATCTTCCCATAAAAACTAGACAGAAGCAATCTCAGAATCTTCCTTGGGATATCTGCACGCAGCTAACAGAGTTGAACCTTTCTATTGACAGAGCAGTTTTGAAACAGTCTTTCTGTGGAATCTGCAAGTGGATATTTGGATAGATTGGAGGATTTCGTTGGAAACGGGATTACGTATAAAAAGTAGACAGCAGCATCCTCAGAAACTTCTTTGTGATGTGTGCATTCAAGTCACAGAGTTGAACATTCCCTTTCGTACAGCAGTTTTGAAACACTCTTTCTGTAGTAACTGGAAGTGAACATTAGGACAGCTTTCAGCTCTATGGTGAGAAAGGAAATATCTTCAAATAAAAACTAGACAGAAGCATTCTCATAAACTTGTTTGTGATGTGTGAACTCAGCTAACAGAGGTGGATCTTTCTTTTGATAGAGCAGTTCTGAAAAACACTTTTTGTTGAATCTGCAAGTGGACATTCGGATAGATTTGAAGATTTCGTTGGAAACGGGAATATCTTCATATCAAATCTAGACAGAAGCATTCTCAGAAACGTCTTTGTGATGTTTGCATTCAACTCATAGAGTTGAACATTCCCTTTCAGAGAGAAGCTTTGAAGCACTCTTTTTGTAGCATGTGCAAGTGGACATTTGGAGCGCCCTGAGGCCTACGGGGAAAAAGCAAATATCTTCCCATAACCACTAGACAGAAACATTCTCAGAAACTCCTTTATGACGTATGCACTCACCTAACAGAGAAGAACCTTTCTTTTGACTGAGCAGTTTTGATACACTCTTTTTGTAGAATCTGCAAGTGGATATTTGGATAGCTGTGAAGATTTCGTTGGAAACGGGAATATCTTCCTATAAAATCTAGACAGAAGCATTCTCAGAAACTGCTCTGTGATGTCTGCATTCAAGTCACAGAGTTGAACATTGCCTTTCATAGAGCAGGTTTGAAACGCTCTTTTTGTAGTATATGGAAGTGGATGTTTCGGACGGTTGGAGGCCCATGGTGATAAAGGGAAAATCTTCCCCTACAAGCTAGAAAGAAGCATTCTGTGAAACTTGTTTGTGATGTGTGTACTCAACTAACAGAGTTGAACCTTTCTTTTTACAGAGCAGTTTTGAAACACTCTTTTTGTAGAATCTGCGAGGGGATATTTGGATAGATTTCAGGATTTCGTTGGAAACGGGAATATCTATCATATAAAATCTCGACAGAAGCATTCTCAGAAACTTCTTTGTGATATGTGCATTAAAGTCACAGAGTTGAATATTCGCTTTCACAGAGTAGGTTTGAAACACTCTTTTTGTAGTATCTGGAAGTGGACATTTGGAGCGCCTTGACGCCTACGGTGAAAAGGGAAATATCTTCCCATAAAAACTAGACAGAAGCAATCTCAGAATCTTCTTTGGGATATATGCACGCAGCTAACAGAGTTGAACCTTTCTATTGACAGAGCAGTTTTGAAACACTCTTTCTGTGGAATCTGCAAGTGGATACTTGGATAGCTTGGAGGATTTCATTGGAAACGGGATTACGTATAAAAAGTAGACAGCAGCATCCTCAGAAACTTCTTTGTGATGTGTGCATTGAAGTCACAGAGTTGAACATTCCCTTTCGTACAGCAGTTTTGAAACACTCTTTCTTTAGTATCTGGAAGTGAACAATAGGACAGCTTTCAGGTCTATGGTGAGAAAGGAAATATCTTCAAATAAAAACTAGACAGAAGCATTCTCATAAACTTGTTTGTGATGTGTGAACTCAGCTAACGGACGTGGATCTTTCTTTTGATACAGCAGTTTTGAAAAACACTTTTTGTTGAATCTGCAAGTGGACATTTGGATAGATATGAAGATTTCGTTGGAAACGGGAATATCTTCATATCAAATCTAGACAGAAGCATTCTCAGAAACGTCTTTGCGATGTTTGCATTCAACTCATAGAGTTGAACATTCCCTTTGAGAGAGCAGCTTTGAAGCACTCTTTTTGTAGCATGTGCAAGTGGACATGTGGAGCGCCCTGAGGCCTACGGGGAAAAAGCAAATATCTTCCCATAACCACTAGACAGAAACATTCTCAGAAACTCCTTTATGACGTATGCACTCACCTAACAGAGAAGAACCTTCCTTTTGACAGAGCAGTTTTGATACACTCTTTTTGTAGAATCTGCAAGTGGATATTTGGGATAGCTGTGAAGATTTCGTTGGAAACGGGAATATCTTCCTATAAAATCTAGACAGAAGCATTCTCAGAAACTGCTCTGTGATGTCTGCATTCAAGTCACAGAGTTGAACATTGCCTTTCATAGAGCAGGTTTGAAATGCTCTTTTTGTAGTATCTGGAAGTGGACGTTTCAGACGGTTTGAGGCCGATGGTGATAAAGGGAATATCTTCCCCTACAAGCTAGAAAGAAGCATTCTGTGAAACTTGTTTGTGATGTGTGTACTCAACTAACAGAGTTGACCCTTTCTTTTCACAGAGCAGTTTTGAAACACTCTTTTTGTAGAATCTGCGAGGGGATATTTGGATAGATTTCAGGATTTCGTTGGAAACGGGAATATCTTCATATAAAATCTCGACAGAAGCATTCTCAGAAACTTCTTTGTGATATGTGCATTCAAGTCACAGAGTTGAATATTCCCTTTCACAGAGTAGGTTTGAAACACTCTTTTTGTAGTATCTGGAAGTGGACATTTGGAGCGCCTTGACGCCTACGGTGAAAAGGGAAATATCTTCACATAAAAACTAGACAGAAGCAATCTCAGAATCTTCTTTGGGATATATGCACGCAGCTAACAGAGTTGAACCTTTCTATTGACAGAGTAGTTTTGAAACAGTCCTTCTGTGGAATCTGCAAGTGGATATTTGGATAGCTTGGAGGATTTCGTTGGAAACGGGATTACGTATAAAAAGTAGACAGCAGCATCCTCAGAAACTCCTTTGTGATGTGTGCATTCAAGTCACAGAGTTGAACATTCCCTTTCGTACAGCAGTTTTGAAACACTCTTTCTGTAGTATCTGGAAGTGAACATTAGGACAGCTTTCAGGTCTATGGTGAGAAAGGAAATATCTTCAAATAAAAACTAGACGGAAGCATTCTCATAAACTTGTTTGTGATGTGTGAACTCAGCTAAGAGACGTGGATCTTTCTTTTGATAGAGCAGTTCTGAAAAACACTTTTTGTTGAATCTGCAAGTGGACATTTGGATAGATTTGAAGATTTCTTTGGAAACGGGAATATCTTCATATCAAATCTAGACAGAAGCATTCTCAGAAACGTCTTTGCGATGTTTGCATTCAACTCATAGAGTTGAACATTCCCTTTCAGAGAGCAGCTTTGAGGCACTCTTTTTGTAGTATGTGCAAGTGGATATTTGGAGCGCTCTGAGGCCTACGGTGAAAATGCAAATATCTTCCCATAACCACTAGACAGAAACATTCTGAGAAACTCCTTTATGACGTATGCACTCACCTAACAGAGAAGAACCTTCCTTTTGACAGAGCAGTTTTGATACACTCTTTTTGTAGAATCTGCAAGTGGATATTTGGATAGCTGTGAAGATTTCGTTGGAAACGGGAATATCTTCCTATAAAATCTAGACAGAAGCATTCTCAGAAACTGCTCTGTGATGTCTGCATTCAAGTCACAGAGTTGAACATTGCCTTTCATAGAGCAGGTTTGAAACGCTCTTTTTGTAGTATATGGAAGTGGACTTTTCGGACGGTTTGAGGCCCATGGTGATAAAGGGAATATCTTCCCCTACAAGCTAGAAAGAAGAAGCATTCTGTGAAACTTGTTTGTGATGTGTGTACTCAACTAACAGAGTTGAACCTTTCTTTTCACAGAGCAGTTTTGAAACACTCTTTTTGTAGAATCTGCGAGGGGATATTTGGATAGATTTCAGGATTTCGTTGGAAACGGGAATATCTTCATACAAAATCTCGACAGAAGCATTCTCAGAAACTTCATTGTGATATCTGCATTCAAGTCACAGAGCGGAATATTCCCTTTCACAGAGTAGGTTTGAAACACTCTTTTTGTAGTATCTGGAAGTGGACATTTGGAGCGCCTTGACACCTATGGTGAAAAGGGAAATATCTTCCCGTAAAAACTAGACAGAAGCAATCTCAGAATCTTCTTTGGGATATATGCACGCAGCTAACAGAGTTGAACCTTTCTATTGACAGAGCAGTTTTGAAACAGTCTTTCTGTAGAATCTGCAAGTGGATATTTGGATAGCTTGGAGGATTTCGTTGGAAACGGGATTACGTATAAAAAGTAGACAGCAGCATCCTCAGAAACTTCTTTGTGATGTGTGCATTCAAGTCACAGAGTTGAACATTCCCTTTCGTACATCAGTTTTGAAACGCTCTTTCTGTAGTATCTGGAAGTGAACATTAGGACAGCTTTCAGGTCTATGGTGAGAAAGGAAATATCTTCAAATAAAAACTAGACAGAAGCATTCTCATAAACTTGTTTGTGATGTGTGAACTCAGCTAACAGACGTGGATCTTTCTTTTGATACAGCAGTTTTGAAAAACACTTTTTGTTGAAATCTGCAAGTGGACATTTGGATAGATTTGAAGATTTCGTTGGAAACGGGAATATCTTCATATCAAATCTAGACAGAAGCATTCTCAGAAACGTCTTTGTGATGTTTGCATTCAACTCATAGAGTTGAACATTCCCTTTCAGAGAGCAGCTTTGAAGCACTCTTTTTGTAGCATGTGCAAGTGGACATTTGGAGCGCCCTGAGGCATACGGGGAAAAAGCAAATATCTTCCCATAACCACTAGACAGAAACATTCTCAGAAACTCCTTTATGACGTATGCACTCACCTAACAGAAAAGAACCTTCCTTTTGACAGAGCAGTTTTGATACACTCTTTTTGTAGAATCTGAAAGTGGATATTTGGAGCGCTCTGAGGCCTACGGTGAAAAAGCAAATATCTTCCCATAACCACTAGACAGAAGCATTCTCAGAAACTGCTCTGTGATGTCTGCATTCAAGTCACACAGTTGAACATTGCCTTTCATGGAGCAGGTTTGAAACGCTCTTTTTGTAGTATATGGAAGTGGACGTTTCGGACGGTTTGAGGCCCATGGTGATAAAGGGAATATCTTCCCCTACAAGCTAGAAAGAAGCATTCTGTGAAACTTGTTTGTGATGTGTGTACTCAACTAACAGAGTTGAACCTTTCTTTTTACAGAGTAGTTTTGAAACACTCTTTTTGTAGAATCTGCGAGGGGATATTTGGAAACATTTCAGCATTTCGTTGGAAACGGGAATATCTTCATATAAAATCTCGACAGAAGCATTCTCAGAAACTTCCTTGTGATATGTGCATTCAAGTCACAGAGTTGAATATTCCCTTTCACAGAGTAGGTTTGAAACACTCTTTTTGTAGTATCTGGAAGTGGACATTTGGAGCGCCTTGACGCCTACGGTGAAAAGGGAAATATCTTCCCATAAAAACTAGACAGAAGCAATCTCAGAATCTTCTTTGGGATTTATGCACGCCGCTAACAGAGTTGAACCTTTCTATTGACAGAGCAGTTTTGAAACAGTCTTTCTGTGGAATCTGCAAGTGGATATTTGGATAGCTTGGAGGATTTCGTTGGAAACGGGATTACGTATAAAAAGTAGACAGCAGCATCCTCAGAAACTTCTTTGTGATGTGTGCATTCAAGTCACAGAGTTGAACATTCCCTTTCGTACAGCAGTTTTGAAACACTCTTTCTGTAGTATCTGGAAGTGAACATTAGGACAGCTTTCAGGTCTATGGTGAGAAAGGAAATATCTTCAAATAAAAACTAGACGGAAGCATTCTCATAAACTTGTTTGTGATGTGTGAACTCAGCTAACAGAGGTGGATCTTTCTTTTGATAGAGCAGTTCTGAAAAACACATTTTGTTGAATCTGCAAGTGGACATTTGGATAGATTTGAAGATTTCGTTGGAAACGGGAATATCTTCATATCAAATCTAGACAGAAGCATTCCCAGAAACGTCTTTGTGATGTTTGCATTCAACTCATAGAGTTGAACATTCCCTTTCAGAGAGCAGCTTTGAAGCACTCTTTTTGTAGGATTTGTAAAGGGATATTTGGAGCGCTCTGAGGCCTAAGGTGAAAAAGCAAATATCTTCCCATAACCACTAGACAGAAACATTCTCAGAAACTCGTTTATGACGTATGCACTCACCTAACAGAGAAGAACCTTCCATTTGACAGAGCAGTTTTGATACACTCTTTTTGTAGAATCTGCAAGTGGATATTTGGATAGCTGTGAAGATTTTGCTGGAAACGGGAATATCTTCCTATAAAATCTAGACAGAAGCATTCTCAGAAACTGCTCTGTGATGTCTGCATTCAAGTCACAGAGTTGAACATTGCCTTTCCTAGAGCAGGTTTGAAACGCTCTTTTTGTAGTATATGGAAGTAGACGTTTCGGACGGTTTGAGGCCCATGGTGATAAAGGGAATATCTTCCCCTACAAGCTAGAAAGAAGCATTCTGTGAAACTTGTTTGTGATGTGTGTACTCAACTAATAGAGTTGAACCATTCTTTTTACAGAGCAGTTTTGAAACACTCTTTTTGTAGAATCTGCGAGGGGATATTTGGATAGATTTCAGGATTTCGTTGGAAACGGGAATATCTTCATATAAAATCTCGACAGAAGCATTCTCCGAAACCTCTTTGTGATATATGCATTGAAGTTACAGAGTTGAATATTCCCTTTCACATAGCAGGTTTGAAACACTCTTTTTGTAGTATCTGGAAGTGGACATTGGGAGCGCTTTGACGTCTATGGTGAAAAAGGAAATATCTTCCCATAAAAACTACACAGAGGCAATCTCAGAATCTTCTTTGGGATGTATGCATGCAGCTAACAGAGTTGAACCTTTCTATTGACAGAGCAGTTTTGAAACAGTCTTTTTGTGGAATCTGCAAGTGGATATTTGGATAGCTTGGAGGATTTCATTGGAAACGGGATTACATATAAAAAGTAGACAGCAGCATCCTCAGAAACTTCTTTGTGATGTGTGCATTCAAGTCACAGAGTTGAACATTCCCTTTCGTACAGCAGTTTTGAAACACTCTTTCTGTAGTATCTGGAAGTGAACATTAGGACAGCTTTCAGCTCTATGGTGAGAAAGGAAATATCTTCAAATAAAAACTAGACAGGAAGCATTCTCATAAACTTGTTTGTGATGTCTGAACTCAGCTAACAGAGGTGGATCTTTCTTTTGATAGAGCAGTTCTGAAAAACACTTTTTGTTGAATCTGCAAGTGGACATTTGGATAGATTTGAAGATTTAGTTGGAAACGGGAATATCTTCATATCAAATCTAGACAGAAGCATTCTCAGAAACGTCTTTGCGATGTTTGCATTCAACTCATAGAGTTGAACATTCCGTTTCAGAGAGCAGCTTTGAGGCACTCTTTTTGTAGTATGTGCAAGTGGATATTTGGAGCGCTCTGAGGCCTACGGTGAAAAAGCAAATATCTTCCCATAACCACTAGACAGAAACATTCTCAGAAACTCCTTTATGACGTATGCACTCACCTAAGAGAGAAGAACCTTCCTTTTGACAGAGCAGTTTTGATACACTCTTTTTGTAGAATCTGCAAGTGGATATTTGGATAGCTGTGAAGATTTCGTTGGAAACGGGAATATCTTCCTATAAAATCTACACAGAAGCATTCTCAGTAACTGCTCTGTGATGTCTGCATTCAAGTCACAGAGTTGAACATTGCCTTTCATAGAGCAGGTTTGAAACGCTCTTTTTGTAGTATATGGAAGTGGATGTTTCGGACGGTTGGAGGCCCATGGTGATAAAGGGAATATCTTCCCCTACAAGCTAGAAAGAAGCATTCTGTGAAACTTGTTTGTGATGTGTGTACTCAAATAACAGAGTTGAACCTTTCTTTTTACAGAGCAGTTTTGAAACATTCTTTTTGTAGAATCTGCGAGGGGATATTTGGATAGATTTCAGGATTTCGTTGGAAACGGGAATATCTTCATATAAAATCTCGACAGAAGCATTCTCAGAAACTTCTTTGTGATATGTGCATTCGAGTCACAGAGTTGAATATTCCCTTTCACAGAGTAGGTTTGAAACACTCTTTTTGTAGTATCTGGAAGTGGACATTTGGAGCGCCTTGACACCTACGGTGAAAAGGGAAATATCTTCCCATAAAAACTAGACAGAAGCAATCTCAGAATCTTCTTTGGGATATATGCACGCAGCTAACAGAGTTAAACCTTTCTATTGACAGAGCAGTTTTGAAACAGTCTTTCTGTGGAATCTGCAAGTAGATATTTGGATAGCTTGGAGGATTTCGTTGGAAACGGGATTACAGATATAAAAAGCTAGACAGCAGCATCCACAGAAACTTCCTTGTAATGTGTGCATTCAAGTCACAGAGTTGAACATTCCCTTTCGTACAGCAGTTTTGAAACACTCTTTCTGAAGTATCTGGAAGTGAACTTTAGGAGAGCTTTCATGTCTATAGTGAGAAAGGCTATATCTTCAAATAAAAAATAGACAGAAGCATTTTCATAAACTTGTTTGTGATGTGTGAACTCAGCTAACAGAGGTGGATCTTTCTTTTGATAGAGCAGTTCTGAAAAACACTTTTTGTTGAATCTGCAAGTGGACATTTGGATAGATTTGAAGATTTCGTTGGAAACGGGAATATCTTCATATCAAATCTAGACAGAAGCATTCTCAGAAACGTCTTTGTGATGTTTGCATTCAACTCATAGAGTTGAACATTCCGTTACAGAGAGCAGCTTTGAGGCACTCTTTTTGTAGTATGTGCAAGTGGATATTTGGAGCGCTCTGAGGCCTACGGTGAAAAAGCAAATATCTTCCCATAACCACTAGACAGAAACATTCTCAGAAACTGCTTTATGAAGTATGCACTCACCTAACAGAGAAGAACCTTCCTTTTGACAGAGCAGTTTTGATACACTCTTTTTGTAGAATCTGCAAGTGGATATTTGGATAGCTGTGAAGATTTCGTTGGAAACGGGAATATCTTCCTATAAAATCTAGACAGAAGCATTCTCAGAAACTGCTCTGTGATGTCTGCATTCAAGTCACAGAGTTGAACATTGCCTTTCCTAGAGCAGGTTTGAAACGCTCTTTTTGTAGTATATGGAAGTGGACGTTTCGGACGGTTTTAGGTCCATGGTGATAAAGGGAATATCTTCCCCTACAAGCTAGAAAGAAGCATTCTGTGAAACTTGTTTGTGATGTGTGTACTCAACTAAGAGGGTTGAACCTTTCTTTTTACAGAGCAGTTTTGAAACACTCTTTTTGTAGAATCTGCGAGGGGATATTTGGATAGATTTCAGGATTTCGTTGGAAACGGGAATATCTTCATATAAAATCTCGACAGAAGCATTCTCAGAAACTTCTTTGTGATATGTGCATTCAAGTCACAGAGTTGAATATTCCCTTTCACAGAGTAGGTTTCAAACACTCTTTTTGTAGTATCTGGAAGTGGAAATTTGGAGCGCCTCGACGCCTACGGTGAAAAGGGAAATATCTTCCCATAAAAACTAGACAGAAGGAATCTCAGAATCTGCTTTGGGATATATGCACGCAGCTAACAGAGTTGAACCTTTCTATTGACAGAGCAGTTTTGAAACAGTCTTTCTGTGGAATCTGCAAGTGGATATTTAGATAGCTTGGAGGATTTCGTTGGTAACGGGATTACGTATAAAAATTAGACAGCAGCATCCTCAGAAACTTCTTTGTGATGTGTGCATTCAAGTCACAGAGTTGAACATTCCCTTTCGTACAGCAGTTTTGAACCACTCTTTCTGTAGTATCTGGAAGTGAACATTAGGAAAGCTTTCAGGTCTATGGTGAGAAAGGAAATATCTTCAAATAAAAACTAGACAGAAGCATTCTCATTAACTTGTTTGTGATGTGTGAACTCAGCTAACAGAGGTGGATCTTTCTTTTGATAGAGCAGTTCTGAAAAACATTTTTTGTTGAATCTGCAGGTGGACATTTGGATAGATTTGAAGATTTCGTTGGAAACGGGAATATCTTCATATCAAATCTAGACAGAAGCATTCTCAGAAACGTCTTTGTGATGTTTGCATTCAACTCATAGAGTTGAACATTCCCTTTCAGAGAGCAGCTTTGAAGCACTCTTTTTGTAGCATGTGCAAGTGGACATTTGGAGGGCCCTGAGGCCTACGGGGAAAAAGCAAATATCTTCCCATAACCACTAGACAGAAACATTCTCAGAAACTCCTTTATGACGTATGCACTCACCTAACAGAGAAGAACCTTCCTTTTGACAGAGCAGTTTCGATACACTCTTTTTGTAGAATCTGCAAGTGGATATTTGGATAGCTGTGAAGATTTCGTTGGAAACGGGAATATCTTCCTATAAAATCTAGACAGAAAGCATTCTCAGAAACTGCTCTGTGATGTCTGCATTCAAGTCACAGAGTTGAACATTGCCTTTCATAGAGCAGGTTTGAAACGCTCTTTTTGTAGTATATGGAAGTGGATGTTTCGGACGGTTTGAGGCCCATGGTGATAAAGGGAATATCTTCCCCTACAAGCTAGAAAGAAGCATTCTGTGAAACTTGTTTGTGATGTGTGTACTCAACTAACAGAGTTGAACCTTTCTTTTTACAGAGCAGTTTTGAAACACTCTTTTTGTAGAATCTGCAAGGGGATATTTGGATAGATTTCAGGATTTCGTTGGAAACGGGAATATCTTCATATAAAATCTCGACAGAAGCATTCTCAGAAGCTTCGTTGTGATATGTGCATTCAAGTCACAGAGTTGAATATTCCCTTTCACAGAGTAGGTTTGAAACACACTTTTTGTAGTATCTGGAAGTGGACATTTGGAGCGCCTTGATGCCTACGGTGAAAAGGGAAATATCTTCTCATAAAAAGTAGACAGAAGCAATCTCAGAATCTTCTTTGGGATATATGCACGCAGCTAACAGAGTTGAACCTTTCTATTGACAGAGCAGTTTTGAAACAGTCTTTCTGTGGAATCTGCAAGTGGATATTTGGATAGCTTGGAGGTTTTCTTTAGAAACGGGATTACGTATAAAAAGTAGACTGCAGCCTCCTCAGAAACTTCTTTGTGATGTGTGTATTCAAGTCACAGAGTTGAACATTCCCTTTCGTACAGCAGTTTTGAAACACTCTTTCTGTAGTATCTGGAAGTGAACATTAGGACAGCTTTCAGGTCTATGGTGAGAAAGGAAATATCTTCAAATAAAAACTAGACAGAAGCATTCTGATAAACTTGTTTGTGAAGTGTGAACTCAGCTAACAGAGTTGGATCTTTCTTTCGACACAGCAGTTTTGAAAAACACTTTTTGTTGAATCTGCAAGTAGACATTTGGATAGATTTGAAGATTTCGTTGAAAACGGGAATATGTTCATTTCAAATCTAGACAGAAGCATTCTCAGAAACGTCTTTGTGATGTTTGCATTCAACTCATAGAGTTGAACATTCCCTTTCAGAGAGCAGCTTTGAAGCACTGTTTTTGTAGTATGTGCAAGTGGACATTTGGAGCGCTTTGAGCCCTACGGGGAAAAAGCAAATATCTTCCCGTAACCACTAGACAGAAACATTCTCAGAAACTCCTTTATGATGTATGCACTCACCTAACAGAGAAGAACCTTCCTTTTGACAGAGCAGTTTTGATACACTCTTTTTGTAGAATCTGCAAGTGGATATTTGGATAGCTGTGAAGATTTCGTTGGAAACAGGGAATATCTTCCTATAAAATCTAGACAGAAGCATTCTCAGAAACTGCTCTGTGATGTCTGTATTCAAGTCACAGAGTTGAACATTGCCTTTCATAGAGCAGGTTTGAAACGCTCTTTGTGTAGTATATGGAAGTGGATGTTTCGGACGGTTGGAGGCCCATGGTGATAAAGGGAATATCTTCCCCTACAAGCTAGAAAGAAGCATTCTGTGAAACTTGTTTGTGATGTGTGTACTCAACTAACAGAGTTGAACCTTTCTTTTTACAGAGCAGTTTTGAAACACTATTTTTGTAGAATCTGCGAGGGGATATTTGGATAGATTTCAGGATTTCTTTGGAAACGGGAATATCTTCATATAAAATCTCGACAGAAGCATTCTCAGAAGCTTCTTTGTGATATGTGCATTCAAGTCACAGAGTTCAATATTCCCTTTCACAGAGTAGGTTTGAAACACTCTTTTTGTAGTATCTGGAAGTGGACATTTGGAGCGCCTTGACGCCTACGGTGAAAAGGGAAATATCTTCTCATAAAAAGTAGACAGAAGCAATCTCAGAATCTTCTTTGGGATATATGCACGCTGCTAACAGAGTTGAACCTTTCTATTGACAGAGCAGTTTTGAAACAGTCTTTCTGTGGAATCTGCAAGTGGATATTTGGATAGCTTGGAGGATTTCGTTGGAAACGGGATTACGTATAAAAATTAGACAGCAGCATCCTCAGAAACTTCTTTGTGATGTGTGCATTCAAGTCACAGAGTTGAACATTCCCTTTCGTACAGCAGTTATGAAACACTCTTTCTGTAGTATCTGGAAGTGAACATTAGGACAGCTTTCAGGTCTATGGTGAGAAAGGAAATATCTTCAAATAAAAACTAGACAGAAGCATTCTCATAAACTTGTTTGTGATGTGTGAACTCAGCTAACAGAGGTGGATCTTTCTTTTGATAGAGCAGTTCTGAAAAACACGTTTTGTTGAATCTGCAAGTGGACATTTGGATAGATTTGAAGATTTCGTTGGAAACGGGAATATCGTCATATCAAATCTAGAAAGAAGCATTCTCAGAAACGTCTTTGTGATGTTTGCATTCAACTCATAGAGTTGAACATTCCGTTTCAGAGACCAGCTTTGAAGCACTCTTTTTGTAGTATGTGCAAGTGGATATTTGGAGCGCTCTGAGGCCTACGGTGAAAAAGCAAATATCTTCCCATAACCACTAGACAGAAACATTCTCAGAAACTCCTTTATGAAGTATGTACTCAACTAACAGAGAAGAACCTTCCTTTTGACAGAGCAGTTTTGATACACTCTTTTTGCAGAATCTGCAAGTGGATATTTGGATAGCTGTGAAGATTTCGTTGGAAACGGGAATATCTTCCTATAAAATCTAGACAGAAGCATTCTCAGAAACTGCTCTGTGATGTCTGCATTCAACTCACAGAGTTGAACATTGCCTTTCATAGAGCAGGTTTGAAACACTCTTTTTGTAGCATATGGAAGTGGACGTTTCGGACGGTTTGAGGCCCATGGTGATAAAGGGAATATCTTCCCCTACAAGCTAGAAAGAAGCATTCTGTGAAACTTGTTTGTGATGTGTGTACTCAACTAACAGAGTTGAACCTTTCTTTTTACAGAGCAGTTTTGAAACACTCTTTTTGTAGAATCTGCGAGGGGATATTTGGATAGATTTCAGGATTTCGTTGGAAAGGGGAATATCTTCATATAAAATCTCGACAGAAGCATTCTCAGAAACTTCTTTGTGATATCTGCATTCAAGTCACAGAGTTGAATATTCCCTTTCACAGAGTAGGTTTGAAACACTCTTTTTGTAGTGTCTGGAAGTGGGCATTTGGAGCGCTTTGACGCCTACGGTGAAAAGGGAAATATCTTCCCATAAAAACTAGACAGAAGCAATCTCAGAATCTTCTTTGGGATATATGCACGCAGCTAACAGAGTTGAACCTTTCTATTGGCAGAGCAGTTTTGAAACAGTCTTTCTGTGGAATCTGCAAGTGGATATTTGGATAGCTTGGAGGATTTCGTTGGAAACGGGATTAAGTATAAAAAGTAGACAGCAGCATCCTCAGAAACTTCTTTGTGATGTGTGCATTCAAGTCACAGAGTTGAACATTCCCTTTCGTACAGCAGTTTTGAAACACTCTTTCTGTAGTAACTGGAAGTGAACTTTAGGACAGCTTTCAGGTCTATGGTGAGAAAGGAAATATCTTCAAATAAAAACTAGACAGAAGCATTCTCATAAACTTGTTTGTGATGTGTTAACTCAGCTAACAGAGGTGGATCTTTCTTTTGATAGAGCAGTTCTGAAAAACACTTTTTGTTGAATCTGCAAGTGGACATTTGGATAGATTTGAAGATTTCTTTGGAAACGGGAATACCTTCATATCAAATCTAGACAGAAGCATTCTCAGAAACGTCTTTGTGATGTTTGCATTCAACTCATAGAGTTGAACATTCCGTTTCAGAGAGCAGCTTTGAGGCACTCTTTTTGTAGTATGTGCAAGTGGATATTTGGAGCGCCTCTGAGGCCTACGGTGAAAAAGCAAATATCTTCCCATAACCACTAGACAGAAACATTCTCAGAAACTCCTTTATGACGTATGCACTCACCTAACAGAGAAGAACCTTCCTTTTGAAAGAGCAGTTTTGATACACTCTTTTTGTAGAATCTGCAAGTGGATACTTGGATAGCTGTGAAGATTTCGTTGGAAACGGGAATATCTTCCTATAAAATCTAGACAGAAGCATTCTCAGAAACTGCTCTGTGATGTCTGCATTCAAGTCACAGAGTTGAACATTGCCTTTCATAGAGCAGGTTTGAAACGCTCTTTTTGTAGTATATGGAAGTGGACTTATCGGACGGTTTGAGGCCCATGGTGATAAAGGGAATATCTTCCCCTACAAGCTAGAAAGAAGCATTCTGTGAAACTTGTTTGTGATGTGTGTACTCAACTAACAGAGTTGAACCTTTCTTTTTAAAGAGCAGTTTTGAAACACTCTTTTTGTAGAATCTGCGAGGGGATATTTGGATAGATTTCAGCATTTCGTTGGAAACGGGAATATCTTCATATAAAATCTCGACAGAAGCATTCTCAGAAACTTCTTTGTGATATGTGCATTCAAGTCACAGAGTTGAATATTCCCTTTCACAGAGTAGGTTTGAAACACTCTTTTTGTAGTATCTGGAAGTGGACATTTGGAGCGCCTTGACGCCTACGGTGAAAAGGGAAATATCTTCCCATAAAAACTAGACAGAAGCAATCTCAGAATCTTCTTTGGGATATATGCACGCAGCTAACAGAGTTGAACCTTTCTATTGACAGAGCAGTTTTGAAACAGTCTTTCTGTGGAATCTGCAAGTGGATATTTGGATAGCTAGGAGGATTTCTTTGGAAACGAGATTACGTATAAAAAGTAGACAGCAGCATCCTCAGAAACTTCTTTGTGATGTGTGCATTCAAGTCACAGAGTTGAACATTCCCTTTCGTACAACAGTTTTGAAACACTCTTTCTGCAGTATCTGGAAGTGAACATTAGGACAGCTTTCAGGTCTATGGTGAGAAAGGAAATATCTTCAAATAAAAACTAGACAGAAGCATTCTCATAAACTTGTTTGTGATGTGTGAACTCAGCTAACACACGTGGATCTTTCTTTTGATAGAGCAGTTCTGAAAAACAATTTTTGTTGAATCTGCAAGTGGACATTTGGATAGATTTGAAGATTTCCTTGGAAACGGGAATATCTTCATATCAAATCTAGACAGAAGCATTCTCAGAAACGTCTTTGCGATGTTTGCATTCAACTCATAGAGTTGAACATTCCGTTTCAGAGAACAGCTTTGAGGCACTCTTTTTGTAGTATGTGCAAGTGGATATTTGGAGCGCTCTGAGGCCTACGGTGAAAAAGCAAATATCTTCCCATAACCACTAGACAGAAACATTCTCAGAAACTCCTTTATGACGTATGCACTCACCTAACAGAGAAGAACCTTTCTTTTGACAGAGCAGTTTTGATACACTCTTTTTGTAGAATCTGCAAGTGGATATTTGGATAGCTGTGAAGATTTCGTTGGAAACGGGAATATCTTCCTATAAAATCTAGACAGAAGCATTCTCAGAAACTGCTCTGTGATGTCTGCATTCAAGTCACAGAGTTGAACATTGCCTTTCATAGAGCAGGTTTGAAACGCTCTTTTTGTAGTATATGGAAGTGGATGTTTCGGACGGTTGGAGGCCCATGGTGATAAAGGGAATATCTTCCGCTACAAGCTAGAAAGAAGCATTGTGTGAAACTTGTTTGTGATGTGTGTACTCAACTAACAGAGTTGAACGTTTGTTTTTACAGAGCAGTTTTGAAACACTCTTTGTGTAGAATCTGCGAGGGGATATTTGGATACATTTCAGGATTTCGTTGGAAACGGGAATATCTTCATATAAAATCTCGACAGAAGCATTCTCAGAAGCTTCTTTGTGATATGTGCATTCAAGTCACAGAGTTGAATATTCCCTTTCACAGAGTAGGTTTGAAGCACTCTTTTTGTAGTATCTGGAAGTGGACATTTGGAGCGCCTTGACGCCTACGGTGAAAAGGGAAATATCTTCTCATAAAAAGTAGACAGAAGCAATCTCAGAATCTTCTTTGGGATATATGCACGCAGCTAACAGAGTTGAACCTTTCTATTGACATAGCAGTTTTGAAACAGTCTTTCTGTGGAATCTGCAAGTGGATATTTGGATAGCTTGGAGGATTTCGTTGGAAACGGGATTACGTATAAAAAGTACACAGCAGCATCCTCAGAAACTTCCTTGTGATGTGTGCATTCAAGTCACAGAGTTGAACATTCCCTTTCGTACAGCAGTTTTGAAACACTCTTTCTGTAGTATCTGGAAGTGAACATTAGGACAGCTTTCAGGTCTATGGTGAGAAAGGAAATATCTTCAAATAAAAACTAGACAGAAGCATTCTCATAAACTTGTTTGTGATGTGTGAACTGAGCTAACAGAGGTGGATCTTTCTTTTGATAGAGCAGTTCTGAAAAACACTTTTTGTTGAATCTGCAAGTGGACATTTGGATAGATTTGAAGATTTCGTTGGAAACGGGAATATCTTCATATCAAATCTAGACAGAAGCATTCTCAGAAACGTCTTTGTGATGTTTGCATTCAACTCATAGAGTTGAACATTCCCTTTCAGAGAGCGGCTTTGAAGCACTCTTTTTGTAGCATGTGCAAGTGGACATTTGGAGGGCCCTGAGGCCTACGGGGAAAAAGCAAATATCTTCCCATAACCACTAGACAGAAACATTCTCAGAAACTCCTTTAAACGTATGCACACACCTAACAGAGAAGAACCTTCCTTTTGACAGAGCAGTTTTGATACACTCTTTTTGTAGAATCTGCAAGTGGATATTTGGATAGCTGTGAAGATTTCGTTGGAAACGGGAATATCTTCCTATAAAATCTAGACAGAAGCATTCTCAGAAAGTGCTCTGTGATGTCTGCATTCAAGTCACAGAGTTGAACATTGCCTTTCATAGAGCAGGTTTGAAACACTCTTTTTGTAGTATATGGAAGTGGACGTTTCGGACGGTTTGAGGCCCATGGTGATAAAGGGAATATCTTCCCCTACAAGCTAGAAAGAAGCATTCTGTGAAACTTGTTTGTGATGTGTGTACTCAACTAACAGACTTGAACCTTTCTTTTTACAGAGCAGTATTGAAACACTCTTTTTGAAGAATCTGCGAGGGGATATTTGGATAGATTTCAGGATTTCGTTGGAAACGGGAATATCTTCATATAAAATCTCGACAGAAGCATTCTCAGAAACTTCCTTGTGATATGTGCATTCAAGTCACAGAGTTGAATATTTCCTTTCACAGAGTAGGTTTGAAACACTCTTTTTGTAGTATCTGGAAGTGGACATTTGGAGCGCCTTGACGCCTACGGTGAAAAGGGAAATATCTTCCCATAAAAACTAGACAGAAGCAATTTCAGAATCTTCTTTGGGATATATGTACGCAGCTAATAGAGTTGAACCTTTCTATTGACAGAGCAGTTTTGAAACAGTCTTTCTGTGGAATCTGCAAGTGGATATTTGGATAGCTTGGAGGATTTCGTTGGAAACGGGATTACGTATAAAAAGTAGACAGCAGCATCCTCAGAAACTTCTTTGTGATGTGTGCATTCAAGTCACAGAGTTGAACATTCCCTTTCATACAGCAGTTTTGAAACACTCTTTCTGTAGTATCTGGAAGTGAACTTTAAGAGAGCTTTCAGGTATATAGTGAGAAAGGATATATCTTCAAATAAAAACTAGACAGAAGCATTCTCATAAACTTGTTCGTGATGTGTGAACTCAGCTAACACACGTGGATCTTTCTTTTGATAGAGCAGTTCTGAAAAACCCTTTTTGTTGAATCTGCAAGAGGACATTTGGATAGATTTGAAGATTTCGTTGGAAACGGGAATATCTTCATATCAAATCTAGACAGAAGCATTCTCAGAAACGTCTTTGTGATGTTTCAATTAAACTCATGGAGTTGAACATTCCCTTTCAGAGAGTAGCTTTGAAGCACTCTTTTTGTAGTATGTGCAAGTAGATATTTGGAGCGCTCTGAGGCCTACGGGGAAAAAGCAAATATCTTCCCATAACCACTAGACAGAAACATTCTCAGAAACTCCTTTATGACGTATGCACTCACCTAACAGAGAAGAACCTTCCTTTTGACAGAGCACTTTTGATACACTCTTTTTGTAGAATCTGAAAGTGGATATTTGGATAGCTGTGAAGATTTCGTTGGAAACGGGAATATCTTCCTATAAAATCTAGACAGAAGCATTCTCAGAAACTGCTCTGTGATGTCTGCATTCAAGTCACAGAGTTGAACATTGCCTTTCATAGAGCAGGTTTGAAACGCTCTTTTTGTAGTATATGGAAGTGGACTTTTCGGACGGTTTGAGGCCCATGGTGATAAAGGGAATATCTTCCCCTACAAAGCTAGAAAGAAGCATTCTGTGAAACTTGTTTGTGATGTGTGTACTCAACTAACAGAGTTGAACCTTTCTTTTTACAGAGCAGTTTTGAAATACTCTTTTTGTAGAATCTGCGAGGGGATATTTGGATAGATTTCAGGATTTCGTTGGAAACGGGAATATCTTAATATAAAATCTCGACAGAAGCATTCTCAGAAACTGCTCTGTGATGTCTGCATTCAAGTCACAGAGTTGAATATTCCCTTTCACAGAGTAGGTTTGAAACACTCTTTTTGTAGTATCTGGAAGTGGACATTTTGAGCGCCTTGACACCTATGGTGAAAAGGGAAATATCTTCCCATAAAAACTAGACAGAAACAATCTCAGAATCTTCTTTGGGATATATGCACGCAGCTAACAGAGTTGAACCTTTCTATTGACAGAGCAGTTTTGAAACAGTCTTTCTGTGGAATCTGCAAGTGGATATTTGGATAGCTTGGAGGATTTCGTTGGAAACGGGATTAGGTATAAAAAGTAGACAGCAGCATCCTCAGAAACTTCTTTGTGATGTGTGCATTCAAGTCACAGAGTTGAATATTCCTTTTCGTACAGCAGTTTTGAAAAACTCTTTCTGTAGTATCTGGAAGTGAACATTAGGACAGCATTCAGGTCTATGGTGAGAAAGGAAATATCTTCAAATAAAAACTACACAGAAGCATTCTCATAAACTTGTTTGTGATGTGTGAACTCAGCTAACAGAGGTGGATCTTTCTTTTGATAGAGCAGTTCTGAAAAACACTTTTTGTTGAATCTGCAAGTGGACCTTTGGATAGATTTGAAGATTTCGTTGGAAACGGGAATATCTTCATATCAAATCTAGACAGAAGCATTCTCAGAAACGTCTTTGTGATGTTTGCATTCAACTCATAGAGTTGAACATTCCCTTTCAGAGAGCAGCTTTGAAGCACTCTTTTTGTAGTATGTGCAAGTGGATATTTGGAGCGCTCTGAGGCCTACGGTGAAAAAGCAAATATCTTCCCATAACCACTAGACAGAAACATTCTCAGAAACTCCTTTATGACGTATGCACTCACCTAACAGTAGAAGAACCTTCCTTTTGACAGAGCAGTTTTGATACACTCTTTTTGTAGAATCTGCAAGTGGATATTTGGATAGCTGTGAAGATTTCGTTGGAAACGGGAATATCTTCCTATAAAATCTAGACAGAAGCATTCTCAGAAACTGCTCTGTGATGTCTGCATTCAAGTCACAGAGTTGAACATTGCCTTTCATAGAGCAGGTTTGAAACGCTCTTTTTGTAGTATATGGAAGTGGAAGTTTCGGTCGGTTTGAGGCCCATGGTGATAAAGGGAATATCTTCCCCTACAAGCTAGAAAGAAGCATTGTGTGAAACTTGTTTGTGATGTGTGTACTCAACTAACAGAGTTGAACCTTTCTTTTTACAGAGCAGTTTTGAAACACTCTTTTTGTAGAATCTGCGAGGGGATATTTGGATACATTTCAGGATTTCCTTGGAAACGGGAATATCTTCATATAAAATGTCGACAGAAGCATTCTCAGAAACTTCATTGTGATATCTGCATTCAAGTCACACAGTTGAATATTCCCTTTCACAGAGTAGGTTTGAAACACTCTTTTTGTAGTATCTGTAAGTGGACATTTGGAGCGCCTTGACACCTACGGTGAAAAGGGAAATATCTTCCCATAAAAACTAGACAGAAGCAATCTCAGAATCTTCTTTGGGATATATGCACGCAGCTAACAGAGTTGAACCTTTCTATTGACAGAGCAGTTTTGAAACAGTCTTTCTGTGGAATCTGCAAGTGGATATTTGGATAGCTTGGAGGATTTCGTTGGAAACGGGATTACGTATAAAAAGTAGCCAGCAGCATCCTCAGAAACTTCTTTGTGATGTGTGCATTCAAGTCACAGAGTTGAACATTCCCTTTCGTACAGCAGTTTTGAAACACTCTTTCTGTAGTATCTGGAAGTGAACATTAGGACAGCTTTCAGGTCTATGGTGAGAAAGGAAATATCTTCAAATAAAAACTGGACAGAAGCATTCTGATAAACTTGTTTGTGAAGTGTGAACTCAGCTAACAGAGGTGGATCTTTCCTTTGATAGAGCAATTCTGAAAAACACTTTGTTGAATCTGCAAGTGGACATTTGGATAGATTTGAAGATTTCGTTGGAAACGGGAATATCTTCATATCAAATCTAGACAGAAGCATTCTCAGAAACGTCTTTGCGATGTTTGCATTCAACTCATAGAGTTGAACATTCCGTTTCAGAGAGCAGCTTTGAGGCACTCTTTTTGTAGTATGTGCAAGTGGATATTTGGAGCGCTCTGAGGCCTTCGGTGAAAAAGCAAATATCTTCCCATAACCACTAGACAGAAACATTCTCAGAAACTCCTTTATGACGTATGCACTCACCTAAAAGAGAAGAACCTTCCTTTTGACAGAGCAGTTTTGATACACTCTTTTTGTAGAATCTGCAAGTGGATATTTGGATAGCTGTGAAGATTTCGTTGGAAACGGGAATATCTTCCTATAAAATCTAGACAGAAGCATTCTCAGAAACTGCTCTGTGATGTCTGCATTCAAGTCACAGAGTTGAACATTGTCTTTCATAGAGCAGGTTTGAAGCGTTCTTTTTGTACTATATGGAAGTGGACGTTTCGGACGGTTTGAGGCCCATGGTGATAAAGGGAATATCTTCCCCTACAAGCTAGAAAGAAGCATTCTGTGAAACTTGTTTGTGATGTGTGTACTCAACTAACAGAGTTGAACCTTTCTTTTTACAGAGCAGTTTTGAAACACTCTTTTTGTAGAATCTGCGAGGGGATATTTGGATAGATTTCAGGATTTCGTTGGAAAGGGGATTATCTTCATATAAAATCTCGACAGAAGCATTCTCAGAAGCTTCTTTGTGATATGTGCATTCAAGTCACAGAGTTGAATATTCCCTTTCACAGAGTAGGTTTGAAACACTCTTTTTGTAGTATCTGGAAGTGGACATTTGGAGCGCCTTGACGCCTACGGTGAAAAGGGAAATATCTTCTCATAAAAAGTAGACAGAAGCAATCTCAGAATCTTCTTTGGGATATATGCACGCAGCTAACAGAGTTGAACCTTTCTATTGACAGAGCAGTTTTGAAACAGTCTTTCTGTGGAATCTGCAAGTGGATATTTGGATAGCTTGGAGGATTTCGTTGGAAACGGGATTACGTATAAAAAGAAGACAGCAGCATCCTCAGAAACATCTTTGTGATGTGGGCATTCAAGTCACAAAGTTGAACATTCCCTTTCGTACAGCAGTTTTGAAACACTCTTTCTGTAGTATCTGGAAGTGAACATTAGGACAGCTTTCAGGTCTATGGTGAGAAAGGAAATATCTTCAAATAAAAACTAGACAGAAGCATTCTCATAAACTTGTTTGTGATGTGTGAACTCAGCTAACAGAGGTGGATCTTTCTTTTGATAGAGCAGTTCTGAAAAACACTTTTTGTTGAATCTGCAAGTGGACATTTGGATAGATTTGAAGATTTCGTTGGAAACGGGAATATCTTCATATCAAATGCTAGACAGAAGCATTCTCAGAAACGTCTCTGTGATGTTTGCATTCAACTCATAGAGTTGAACATTCCGTTTCAGAGAGCAGCTTTGAGGCACTCTTTTTGTAGTATGTGCAAGTGGATATTTGGAGCGCTCTGAGGCCTACGGTGAAAAAGCAAATATCTTCCCATAACCACTAGACAGAAACATTCTCAGAAACTCCTTTATGACGTATGCACTCACCTAACAGAGAAGAACCTTCCTTTTGACAGAGCAGTTTTGATACACTCTTTTTGTAGAATCTGCAAGTGGATATTTGGATAGCTGTGAAGATTTCGTTGGAAACGGGAATATCTTCCTATAAAATCTACACAGAAGCATTCTCAGGAACTGCTCTGTGATGTCTGCATTCAAGTCACAGAGTTGAACATTGCCTTTCCTAGAGCAGGTTTGAAACGCTCTTTTTGTAGTATATGGAAGTGGACGTTTCGGACGTTTTGAGGCCCATGGTGATGAAGGGAATATCATCCCCTACAAGCTAGAAAGAAGCATTCTGTGAAACTTGTTTGTGATGTGTGTACTCAACTAACAGAGTTGAACCTTTCTTTTTACAGAGCAGTTTTGAAACACTCTTCTTGTAGAATCTGCGAGGGGATATTTGGATAGATTTCAGGATTTTGTTGGAAACGGGAATATCTTAATATAAAATTCTCGACAGAAGCATTCTCAGAAACTTCTTTGTGATATGTGCATTCAAGTCACAGAGTTGAATATTCCCTTTCACCGAGTAGGTTTGAAACACTCTTTTTGTAGTATCTGGAAGTGGACATTTGGAGCGCCTTGACACCTACGGTGAAAAGGGAAATATCTTCCCATAAAAACTAGACAGAAGCAATCTCAGAATCTTCTTTGGGATATATGTACGCAGCTAATAGAGTTGAACCTTTCTATTGACAGAGCAGTTTTGAAACAGTCTTTCTGTGGAATCTGCAAGTGGATATTTGGATAGCTTGGAGGATTTCGTTGGAAACGGGATTACGTATAAAAAGTAGACAGCAGCATCCTCAGAAACATCCTTGTGATGTGTGCATTCCAGTCACAGAGTTGAACATTCCCGTTCGTACAGCAGTTTTGAAACACTCTTTCTGTAGTATCTGGAAGTGAACTTTAGGAGAGCTTTCAGGTCTATAGTGAGAAAGGATATATCTTCAAATAAAAACTAGACAGAAGCATTCTCATTAACTTGTTTGTGATGTGTGAACTCAGCTAACAGAGGTGGATCTTTCTTTTGATAGAGCAGTTCTGAAAAACATTTTTTGTTGAATCTGCAAGTGGACATTTGGATAGATTTGAAGATTTCGTTGGAAACGGGAATATCTTCATATCAAATCTAGACAGAAGCATTCTCAGAAACGTCTTTGTGATGTTTGCATTCAACTCATAGAGTTGAACATTCCCTTTCAGAGAGCAGCTTTGAAGCACTCTTTTTGTAGCATGTGCAAGTGGACATTTGGAGGGCCCTGAGGCATACGGGGAAAAAGCAAATATCTTCCCATAACCACTAGACAGAAACATTCTCAGAAACTCCTTTATGACGTATGCACTCACCTAACAGAGAAGAACCTTCCTTTTGACAGAGCAGTTTTGATACACTCTTTTTGTAGAATCTGCAAGTGGATATTTGGATAGCTGTGAAGATTTCGTTGGAAACTGGAATATCTTCCTATAAAATCTAGACAGAAGCATTCTCAGAAACTGCTCTGTGATGTCTGCATTCAAGTCACAGAGTTGAACATTGCCTTTCATAGAGCAGGTTTGAAACGCTCTTTTTGTAGTATATGGAAGTGGACTTTTCGGACGGTTTGAGGCCCATGGTGATAAAGGGAATATCTTCCCCTACAAGCTAGAAAGAAGCATTGTGTGAAACTTGTTTGTGATGTGTGTACTCAACTAAGAGAGTTGAACCTTTCTTTTTACAGAGCAGTTTTGAAACACTCTTTTTGTAGAATCTGCGAGGGGATATTTGGATAGATTTCAGGATTTCGTTGGAAACGGGAATATCTTCATATAAAATCTCGACAGAAGCATTCTCAGAAACTTCTTTGTAATATGTGCATTCAAGTCACAGAGTTGAATATTCCCTTTCACAGAGTAGGTTTGAAACACTCTTTTTGTAGTATCTGGAAGTGGACATTTGGAGCGCCTTGACGCCTACGGTGAAAAGGGAAATATCTTCCCATAAAAACTAGACAGAAGTAATCTCAGAATCTTCTTTGGGATATATGCACGCAGCTAACAGAGTTGAACCTTTCTATTGACAGAGCAGTTTTGAAACAGTCTTTCTGTGGAATCTGCAAGTGGATATTTGGATAGCTTGGAGGATTTCGTTGGAAACGGGATTAAGTATAAAAAGTAGACAGCAGCATCCTCAGAATCTTCTTTGTGATGTGTGCATTCAAGTCACAGAGTTGAACATTCCCTTTCGTACAGCAGTGTTGAAACAC
The DNA here is from genome assembly GCF_000001405.40 of Homo sapiens. Taxonomy (NCBI): domain Eukaryota; kingdom Metazoa; phylum Chordata; class Mammalia; order Primates; family Hominidae; genus Homo; species Homo sapiens. Next base: position 17,501,568 of record NC_000014.9, read on the forward strand.
TCTTTCTGTAGTATCTGGAAGTGAACATTAGGACAGCTTTCAGGTCTATGGTGAGAAAGGAAATATCTTCAAATAAAAACTAGACAGAAGCATTCTCATAAACTTCTTTGTGATGTGTGAACTCAGCTAAGAGACGTGGATCTTTCTTTTGATAGAGCAGTTCTGAAAAACACTTTTTGTTGAATCTGCAAGTGGACATTTGGATAGATTTGAAGATTTCGTTGGAAACGGGAATAACTTCATTTCAAATCTAGACAGAAGCATTCTCAGAAATGTCTTTGTGATGTTTGCATTCAACCCATAGAGTTGAACATTCCCTTTCAGAGAGCAGCTTTGAAGCACTCTTTTTGTAGTATGTGCAAGGGGATATTTGGAGCGCTCTGAGGCCTAAGGTGAAAAATCAAATATCTTCCCATAACCACTAGACAGAAACATTCTCAGAAACTCCTTTATGACGTATGCACTCACCTAACAGAAAAGAACCTTCCTTTTGACAGAGCAGTTTTGATACACTCTTTTTGTGGAATCTGCAAGTGGATATTTGGATAGCTGTGAAGATTTCGTTGGAAACGGGAATATCTTCCTACAAAATCTAGACAGAAGCATTCTCAGAAACTGCTCTGTGATGTCTGCATTCAAGTCACAGCAGTTGAACATTGCCTTTCCTAGAGCAGGTTTGAAACGCTCTTTTTGTAGTATATGGAAGTGGACGTTTCGGACGGTTTGAGGCCCATGGTGATAAAGGGAATATCTTCCCCTACAAGCTAGAAAGAAGCATTCTGTGAAACTTGTTTGTGATGTGTGTACTGAAGTAACAGAGTTGAACCTTTCTTTTTACAGAGCAGTTTTGAAACACTCTTTTTGTAGAATCTGCGAGGGGATATTTGGATAGATTTCAGGATTTCGTTGGAAACGGGAATATCTTTATAGAAAATCTCGACAGAAGCATTCTCAGAAACTTCTTTGTGATATGTGCATTCAAGTCACAGAGTTGAATATTCACTTTCACAGAGTAGGTTTGAAACACTCCTTTTGTAGTATCTGGAAGTGGACATTTGGAGCGCCTTGACGCCTACGGTGAAAAGGGAAATATCTTCCCATAAAAACTAGACAGAAGCAATCTCAGAATCTTCTTTGGGATATATGCACGCAGCTAACAGAGTTGAACCTTTCCATTGACAGAGCAGTTTTGAAACAGTCTTTCTGTGGAATCTGCAAGTGGATATTTGGATACCTTGGAGGATTTCGTTGGAAACGGGATTACGTATAAAAAGTAGACAGCAACATCCTCAGAAACTTCTTTGTGATGTGTGCATTCAAGTCACAGAGTTGAACATTCCCTTTCGTACAGCAGTTTTGAAACACTCTTTCTGTAGTATCTGGAAGTGAACATTAGGACAGCTTTCAGCTCTATGGTGAGAAAGGAAATATCTTCAAATAAAAACTAGACAGAAGCATTCTCATAAACTTGTTTGTGATGTGTGAACTCAGCTAACAGAGGTGGATCTTTCTTTTGATAGAGCAGTTCTGAAAAACACTTTTTGTTGAATCTGCAAGTGGACATTTGGATAGATTTGAAGATTTCGTTGGAAACGGGAATATCTTCAATATCAAATCTAGACAGAAGCATTCTCAGAAACGTCTTTGTGATGTTTGCATTCAACTCATAGAGTGGAACATTCCCTTTCAGAGAGCAGCTTTGAAGCACTCTTTTTGTAGTATGTGCAAGTGGATATTTGGAGCGCTCTGAGGCCTACGGTGAAAAAGCAAATATCTTCCCATAACCACTAGACAGAAACATTCTCAGAAACTCCTTTATGACGTATGTACTCAACTAACAGAGAAGAACCTTCCTTTTGACAGAGCAGTTTTGATACACTCTTTTTGTAGAATCTGCAAGTGGATATTTGTATAGCTGTGAAGATTTCGTTGGAAACGGGAATATCTTCCTATAAAATCTAGACAGAAGCATTCTCAGAAACTGCTCTGTGATGTCTGCATTCAAGTCACAGAGTTGAACATTGCCTTTCATAGAGCAGGTTTGAAATGCTCTTTTTGTAGTATATGGAAGTGGACGTTTCAGACAGTTTGAGGCCCATGGTGATAAAGGGAATATCTTCCCCTACAAGCTAGAAAGAAGCATTCTGTGAAACTTGTTTGTGATGTGTGTACTCAACTAACAGAGTTGAACTTTTCTTTTTACAGAGCAGTTTTGAAACACTCTTTTTGTAGAATCTGCGAGGGGATATTTGGATAGATTTCAGAATTTCGTTGGAAACGGGAATATCTTCATATAAAATCTCGACAGAAGCATTCTCAGAAACTTCTTTGTGATATGTGCATTCAAGTCACAGAGTTGAATATTCCCTTTCACAGAGTAGGTTTGAAACACTCTTTTTGTAGTATCTGGAAGTGGACATTTGGAGCGCCTTGACGCCTACGGTGAAAAGGGAAATATCTTCCCATCAAAACTAGACAGAAGCAATCTCAGCAATCTTCTTTGTGATATATGCACGCAGCTAACAGAGTTGAACCTTTCTATTGACTGAGCAGATTTGAAACAGTCTTTCTGTGGAATCTGCAAGTGGATATTTGGATAGATTGGAGGATTTCGTTGGAAACGGGATTACGTATAAAAAGTACACAGCAGCATCCTCAGAAACTTCCTTGTGATGTGTGCATTCAATTCACAGAGTTGAACATTCCCTTTCGTACAGCAGTTTTGAAACACTCTGTAGTATCTGGAAGTGAACATTAGGACAGCTTTCAGCTCTATGGTGAGAAACGAAATATCTTCAAATAAAAACTAGACAGAAGCATTCTCATAAACTTGTTTGTGATGTGTGAACTCAGCTAACAGAGGTGGATCTTTCTTTTGATAGAGCAGTTCTGAAAAACACTTTTTGTTGAATCTGCAAGTGGACATTTGGATAGATTTGAAGATTTCGTTGGAAACGGGAACATCTTCATATCAAATCTAGACAGAAGCATTCTCAGAAACGTCTTTGTGATGTTTGCATTCAACTCATAGAGTTGAACATTCCCTTTCAGAGAGCAGCTTTGAGGCACTCTTTTTGTAGTATGTGCAAGTGGATATTTGGAGCGCTCTGAGGCCTACGGTGAAAATGCAAATATCTTCCCATAACCACTAGACAGAAACATTCTCAGAAACTCCTTTATGACGTATGCACTCAACTAACAGAAAAGAACCTTCCTTTTGACAGAGCAGTTTTGATACACTCTTTTTGTAGAATCTGCAAGTGGATATTTGGGTAGCTGTGAAGATTTCGTTGGAAACGGGAATATCTTCCTATAAAATCTAGACAGAAGCATTCTCAGAAACTGCTCTGTGATGTCTGCATTCAAGTCACAGAGTTGAACATTGCCTTTCCTAGAGCAGGTTTGAAACGCTCTTTTTGTAGTATATGGAAGTGGACGATTCGGACGGTTTGAGGCCCATGGTGATAAAGGGAATATCTTCCCCTACAAGCTAGAAAGAAGCATTCTGTGAAACTTGTTTGTGATGTGTGTACTCAACTAACAGAGTTGAACCTTTCTTTTTACAGAGCAGTTTTGAAACACTCTTTTTGTAGAATCTGCGAGGGGATATTTTGATAGATTTCAGGATTTCGTTGGAAACGGGAATATCTTCCTATAAAATCTCGACAGAAGCATTCTCAGAAACTTCTTTGTGACATGTGCATTCAAGTCACAGAGTTGAATATTCCCTTTCACAGAGTAGGTTTGAAACACTCTTTTTGTAGTATCTGGAAGTGGACATTTGGAGCGCCTTGACGCCTACGGTGAAAAGGGAAATATCTTCCCATAAAAACTAGACAGAAGCAATCTCAGAATCTTCTTTGGGATATATGCACGCAGCTAACAGAGTTGAACCTTTCTATTAACAGAGCAGTTTTGAAACAGTCTTTCTGTGGAATCTGCAAGTGGATATTTGGATAGCTTGGAGGATTTCGTTGGAAACGGGATTACGTATAAAAAGTAGACAGCAGCCTCCTCAGAAACTTCTTTGTGATGTGTGCATTCAAGTCACAGAGTTGAACATTCCCTTTCGTACAGCAGTTTTGAAACACTCTTTCTGTAGTATCTGGAAGTGAACATTAGTACAGCTTTCAGGTCTATGGTGAGAAAGGCAATATCTTCAAATAAAAACTAGACAGAAGCATTCTCATAAACTTGTTTGTGATGTGTGAACTCAGCTAACAGAGGTGGATCTTTCTTTTGATAGAGCAGTTCTGAAAAACACTTTTTGTTGAATCTGCAAGTGGAGATTTGGATAGATTTGAAGATTTCGTTGGAAACGGGAATATCTTCATATCAAATCTAGACAGAAGCATTCTCAGAAACGTCTTTGTGATGTTTGCATTCAACTCATAGAGTTGAACATTCCCTTTCAGAGAGCAGCTTTGAAGCACTCTTTTTGTAGCATGTGCAAGTGGACATTTGGAGCGCCCTGAGGCCTACGGGGAAAAAGCAAATATCTTCCCATAACCACTAGACAGAAACATTCTCAGAAACTCCTTTATGACGTATGCACTCACCTAACAGAGAAGAACCTTGCTTTTGACAGAGCAGTTTTGATACACTCTTTTTGTAGCATCTGCAAGTGGATATTTGGATAGCTGTGAAGATTTCGTTGGAAACGGGAATATCTTCCTATAAAATCTAGACAGAAGCATTCTCAGAAACTGCTCTGTGATGTCTGCATTCAAGTCACAGAGTTGAACATTGCCTTTCATAGAGCAGGTTTGAAACGCTCTTTTTGTAGTATATGGAAGTGGACTTTTCGGACGGTTTGAGGCCCATGGTGATAAAGGGAATATCTTCCCCTGCAAGCTAGAAAGAAGCATTCTGTGAAACTTGTATTGTGAGGTGTGTACTCAACTAACAGAGTTGAACTTTTCTTTTTACAGAGCAGTTTTGAAACACTCTTTTTGTAGAATCTGCGAGGGGATATTTGGATAGATTTCAGGATTTCGTTGGAAAGGGGAATATCTTCATATAAAATCTCGACAGAAGCATTCTGAGAAACCTCTTTGTGATACCTGCACTCAAGTCACAGAGTTGAATATTCCCTTTCACAGAGTAGGTTTGAAACACTCTTTTTGTAGTATTTGGAAGTGGACATTTGGAGCGCCTTGACGCCTACGGTGAAAAAGGAAATATGAAATATCTTCCCATAAATACTAGACAGAAGCAATCTCAGAATCTTCTTTGGGATGTATGCACCCAGCTAACAGAGTTGAAACTTTCTATTGACAGAGCAGTTTTGAAACAGTCTTTTAGTGGAATCTGCAAGTGGATATTTTGATAGCTTGGAGGATTTCTTTGGAAACGGGATTATGTATACAAAGTAGACAGCAGCATCCTCAGAAACTTCTTTGTGATGTGTGCATTCAAGTCACAGAGTTGAACATTCCTTTTCGTACAGCAGTTTTGAAACACTCTTTCTGTAGTATCTGGAAGTGAACATTATGACAGCTTTCAGGTCTATGGTGAGAAAGGAAATATCTTCAAATAAAAACGAGACAGAAGCATTCTCATAAACTTGTTTGTGATGTGTGAACTCAGCTAACACACGTGGATCTTTCTTTTGATAGAGCAGTTCTGAAAAACAATTTTTGTAGAATCTGCAAGTGGACATTTGGATAGATTTGAAGATTTCCTTGGAAACGGGAATATCTTCATATCAAATCTAGACAGAAGCATTCTCAGAAACGTCTTTGTGATGTTTGCATTCAACTCATAGAGTTGAACATTCCGTTTCAGAGAGCAGCTTTGAAGCACTCTTTTTGTAGTATGTGCAAGTGGATATTTGGAGCGCTCTGAGGCCTACGGGGAAAAAGCAAATATCTTCCCATAACCACTAGACAGAAACATTCTCAGAAACTGCTTTATGACGTATGTACTCAACTAACAGAGAAGAACCTTCCTTTTGACAGAGCAGTTTTGATACACTCTTTTTGTAGAATCTGCAAGTGCATATTTGGATAGCTGTGAAGATTTCGTTGGAAACGGGAATATCTTCCTATAAAATCTAGACAGAAGCATTCTCAGAAACTGCTCTGTGATGTCTGCATTCAAGTCACAGAGTTGAACATTGCCTTTCCTAGAGCAGGTTTGAAACGCTCTTTTTGTAGTATATGGAAGTGGACGTTTCGGACGCTTTGAGGCCCATGGTGATAAAGGGAATATCTTCCCCTACAAGCTAGAAAGAAGCATTCTGTGAAACTTGTTTGTGATGTGTGTACTCAACTAACAGAGTTGAACCTTTCTTTTTACAGAGCAGTTTTGAAACACTCTTTTTGTAGAATCTGCGAGGGGATATTTGGATACATTTCAGAATTTCGTTGGAAACGGGAATATCTTCATATAAAATCTCGACAGAAACATTCTCAGAAACTTCCTTGTGATATGTGCATTCAAGTCACAGACTTGAATATTCCCTTTCACAGAGTAGGTTTGAAACACTCTTTTTGTAGTATCTGGAAGTGGACATTTGGAGCGCCTTGACGCCTACGGTGAAAAGGGAAATATCTTCCCATAAAAACTAGACAGAAGCAATCTCAGAATCTTCTTTGGGATATATGCACGCAGCTAACAGAGTTGAACCTTTCTATTGACACAGCAGTTTTGAAACAGTCTTTCTGTGGAATCTGCAAGTGGATATTTGGATAGCTTGGAGGATTTCGTTGGAAACGGGATTACGTATAAAAAGTAGACAGCAGCATCCTCAGAAACTTCTTTGTGATGTGTGCATTCAAGTCACAGAGTTGAACATTCCCTTTCGTACAGCAGTTTTGAAACACTCTTTCTGTAGTATCTGAAGTGAACAATAGGACAGCTTTCAGGTCTATGATGAGAAAGGAAATATCTTCAAATAAAAACTAGACAGAAGCATTCTCATAAACTTGTTTGTGATGTGTGAACTCAGCAAACAGAGGTGGATCTTTCTTTTGATAGAGCAGTTCTGAAAAACACTTTTTGTTGAATCTGCAAGTGGACATTTGGATAGATTTGAAGATTTCGTTCGAAACGGGAATATCTTCATATCAAATCTAGACAGAAGCATTCTCAGAAAGGTCTTTGTGATGTTTGCATTCAACCCATAGAGTTGAACATTCCGTTTCAGAGAGCAGCTTTGAAGCACTCTTTTTGTAGTATGTGCAAGGGGATATTTTGAGCGCTTTGAGGCCTAAGGTGAAAAAGCAAATATCTTCCCATAACCACTAGACAGAAACATTCTCAGAAACTCCTTTATGACGTATGTACTCAACTAACAGAGAAGAACCTTCCTTTTGACAGAGCAGTTTTGATACACTCTTTTTGTAGAATCTGCAAGTGGATATTTGGATAGCTGTGAAGATTTCGTTGGAAACGGGAATATCTTCCTATAAAATGCCAGACAGAAGCATTCTCAGAAACTGCTCTGTGATGTCTGCATTCAAGTCACAGAGTTGAACATTGCCTTTCATAGAGCAGGTTTGAAACGCTCTTTTTGTAGTATATGTAAGTGGATGTTTCGGACGGTTGGAGGCCCATGGTGATAAAGGGAATATCTTCCCCTACAAGCTAGAAAGAAGCATTCTGTGAAACTTGTTTGTGATGTGTGTACTCAACTAACAGAGTTGAACCTTTCTTTTTACAGAGCAGTTTTGAAACACTCTTTTTGTAGAATCTGCGAGGGGATATTTGGATACATTTCAGCATTTCGTTGGAAACGGGAATATCTTCATATAAAATCTCGACAGAAGCATTCTCAGAAACTTCCTTGTGATATGTGCATTCAAGTCACAGAGTTGAATATTCCCTTTCACAGAGTAGGTTTGAAACACTCTTTTTGTAGTATCTGGAAGTGCACATTTGGAGCGCCTTGACGCCCACGGTGAAAAGGGAAATATCTTCCCATAAAAACTAGACAGAAGCAATCTCAGCAATCTTCTTTGGGATATATGCACGCAGCTAACAGAGTTGAACCTTTCTATTGACAGAGCAGTTTTGAAACAGTCTTTCTGTGGAATCTGCAAGTGGATATTTGGATAGCTTGGAGGATTTCGTTGGAAACGGGATTACGTATATAAAGTAGACCACAGCATCCTCAGAAACTTCTTTGTGATGTGTGCATTCAAGTCACAGAGTTGAACATTCCCTTTCGTACAGCAGTTTTGAAACACTCTTTCTGTAGTATCTGGAAGTGTACATTAGGACAGCTTTCAGGTCTATGGTGAGAAAGGAGATATCTTCAAATAAAAACTAGACAGAAGCATTCTCATAAACTTGTTTGTGATGTGTGAACTCAGCTAACAGAGGTGGATCTTTCTTTTGATAGAGCAGTTCTGAAAAACACGTTTTGTTGAATCTGCAAGGGGACATTTGGATAGATTTGAAGATGTCGTTGGAAACGGGAATATCTTCATATCAAATCTAGACAGAAGCATTCTCGGAAACGTCTTTGTGATGTTTGCATTCAACTCAGAGAGTTGAACATTCCGTTTCAGAGAGCAGCTTTGAAGCACTCTTTTTGTAGTATGTGCAAGTGGATATTTGGAGCGCTCTGAGGCCTACGGTGAAAAAGCAAATATCTTCCCATAACCACTAGACAGAAACATTCTCAGAAACTCCTTTATGACGTATGCACTCACCTAACAGAGAAGAACCTTCCTTTTGACAGAGCAGTTTTGATACACTCTTTTTGTAGAATCTGCAAGTGGATATTTGGATAGCTGTGAAGATTTCGTTGGAAACGGGAATATCTTCCTATAAAATCTAGACAATAACATTCTCAGGAACTGCTCTGTGATGTCTGCATTCAAGTCACAGAGTTGAACATTGCCTTTCCTAGAGCAAATTTGAAACGCTCTTTTTGTAGTATATGGAAGTGGACGTTTCGGACGGTTTGAGGCCCATGGTGATAAAGGGAATATCTTCCCCTACAAGCTAGAAAGAAGCATTCTGTGAAACTTGTTTGTGATGTGTGTACTCAACTAACAGAGTTGAACCTTTCTTTTTACAGAGCAGTTTTGAAACACTCTTTTTGTAGAATCTGCGAGGGGATATTTGGATAGATTTCAGGATTTCGTTGGAAACGGGAATATCTTAATATAAAATCTCGACAGAAGCATTCTCAGAAACTTCTTTGTGATATCTGCATTCAAGTCACAGAGTTGAATATTCCCTTTCACAGAGTAGGTTTGAAACACTCTTTTTGTAGTATCTGGAAGTGGACATTTGGAGCGCCGTGACGCCTACGGTGAAAAGGAAAATATCTTCCCATAAAAACTAGACAGAAGGAATCTCAGAATCTTCTTTGGGATATATGCACGCAGCTAACAGAGTTGAACCTTTCTATTGACAGAGCAGTTTTGAAACAGTCTTTCTGTGGAATCTGCAAGTGGATATTTGGATAGCTTGGAGGATTTCGTTGGAAACGGGATTACGTATAAAAAGTAGACAGCAGCATCCTCAGAAACTTCTTTGTGATGTGTGCATTCAAGTCACAGATTTGAACATTCCCTTTCGTACAGCAGTTTTGAAACACTCTTTCTGTCGTATCTGGAAGTGAACATTAGGACAGCTTTCAGCTCTATGGTGAGAAAGGAAATATCTTCAAATAAAAACTAGACAGAAGCATTCTCATAAACTTGTTTGTGATGTGTGAACTCAGCTAACAGAGGTGAATCTTTCTTTTGATAGAGCAGTTCTGAAAAACACTTTTTGTTGAATCTGCAAGTGGACATTTGGATAGATTTGAAGATTTCGTTGGAAACGGGAATATCTTCATATCAAATCTAGACAGAAGCATTCTCAGAAACGTCTTTGTGATGTTTGCATTCAAGTCATAGAGTTGAACATTCCGTTTCAGAGAGCAGCTTTGAAGCACTCTTTTTGTAGTATGTGCAAGTGGATATTTGGAGCGCTCTGAGACCTACGGGTGAAAAAGCAAATATCTTCCCATAACCACTAGACAGAAACATTCTCAGAAACTCCTTTATGACGTATGTACTCAACTAACAGAGGAGAACCTTCCTTTTGACAGAGCAGTTTTGATACACTCTTTTTGTAGAATCTGCAAGTGGATATTTGGATAGCTTGGAAGATTTCGTTGGAAAAGGGAATATCTTCCTATAAAACCTAGACAAAAGCATTCTCAGAAACTGCTCTGTGATGTCTGCATTCAAGTCACAGAGTTGAACATTGCCTTTCATAGAGCAGGTTTGAAACGCTCTTTTTGTAGTATATGGAAGTGGACTTATCGGACGGTTGGAGGCCCATGGTGATAAAGGGAATATCTTCCCCTACAAGCTAGAAAGAAGCATTCTGTGAAACTTGTTTGTGATGTGTGTACTCAACTAACAGAGTTGAACCTTTCTTTTTACAGAGCAGTTTTGAAACATTCTTTTTGTAGAATCTGCGAGGGGATATTTGGATAGATTTCAGGATTTCGTTGGAAACGGGAATATCTTCATATAAAATCTCGACAGAAGCATTCTCAGAAACTTCTTTGTGATATGTGCATTCAAGTCACAGAGTTGAATATTCCCTTTCACAGAGTAGGTTTGAAACACTCTTTTTGTAGTATCTGGAAGTGGACATTTGGAGCGCCTTGACACCTACGGTGAAAAGGGAAATATCTTCCCATAAAAACTAGACAGAAGCAATCTCAGAATCTTCTTTGGGATATATGCACGCAGCTCACAAAGTTGAACCTTTCTATTGACAGAGCAGTTTTGAAACAGTCTTTCTGTGGAATCTGCAAGTGGATATTTGGATAGCTTGGAGGATTTCGTTGGAAACGGGATTACGTATAAAAATTAGACAGCAGCATCCTCAGAAACATCCTTGTGATGTGTGCATTCAAGTCACAGAGTTGAACATTCCCTTTCGTACAGCAGTTTTGAAACACTCTTTCTGTAGTATCTGGAAGTGAACTTTAGGACAGCTTTCAGGTCTATAGTGAGAAAGGTTATATCTTCAAATAAAAACTAGACAGAAGCATTCTGATAAACTTGTTTGTGAAGTGTGATCTCAGCTAACAGAGGTGGATCTTTCTTTTGATAGAGCAGTTCTGAAAAACACTTTGTTGAATCTGCAAGTGGACATTTGGATAGATTTGAAGATTTCGTTGTAAACGGGAATATCTTCATATCAAATCTAGACAGAAGCAGTCTCAGAAACGTCTTTGTGATGTTTGCATTCAACTCATAGAGTTGAACATTCCGTTTCAGAGAGCAGCTTTGAAGCACTCTTTTTGTAGTATGTGCAAGTGGATATTTGGAGCGCTCTGAGGCCTACGGTGAAAAAGCAAATATCTTCCCTTAACCACTAGACAGAAACATTCTCAGAAACTCCTTTATGACGTATGTACTCAACTAACAGAAGAAGAACCTTCCTTTTGACAGAGCAGTTTTGATACACTCTTTTTGTAGAATCTGCAAGTGGATATTTGGATAGCTGTGAAGATTTCGTTGGAAACGGGAATATCTTCCTATAAAATCTAGACAGAAGCATTCTCAGAAACTGCTCTGTGATGTGTGCATTCAAGTCACAGAGTTGAACATTGCCTTTCATAGAGCAGGTTTGAAACGCTCTTTTTTGTAGTATATGGAAGTGGACGTTTCGGACGGTTTGAGGCCCATGGTGATAAAGGGAATATCTTCCCCTACCAGCTAGAAAGAAGCATTCTGTGAAACTTGTTTGTGATGTGTGTACTCAACTAACAGAGTTGAACCTTTCTTTTTACAGAGCAGTTTTGAAACACTCTTTTTGTAGAATCTGCGTGGGGATATTTGGATAGATATCAGGATTTCCTTGGAAACGGGAATATCTTCTTTGAAAATCTCGGCAGAAGCATTCTCAGAAACTTCATTGTGATATCTGCATTCAAGTCACAGAGTTGAATATTCCCTTTCACAGAGTAGGTTTGAAACACTCTTTTTGTAGTATCTGGAAGTGGACATTTGGAGCGCCTTGACACCTACGGTGAAAAGGGAAATATCTTCCCATAAAAGCTAGACAGAAGCAATCTCAGAATCTTCTTTGGGATATATGCACGCAGCTAACAGAGTTGAACATTTCTATTGACAGAGCAGTTTTGAAACAGTCTTTCTGTGGAATCTGCAAGTGGATATTTGGATAGCTTGGAGGATTTCGTTGGAAACGGGATTACGTATAAAAAGTAGACAGCAGCATCCTCAGAAACTTCTTTGTGATGTGTGCATTCAAGTCACAGAGTTGAACATTCCCTTTCGTACAGCAGTTTTGAAACACTCTTTCTGTAGTATCTGGAAGTGAACATTAGGACAGCTTTCAGCTCTGTGGTGAAAAAGGAAATATCTTCAAATAAAAACTAGACAGAAGCATTCTCATAAACTTGTTTGTGATGTGTGAACTCAGCTAACAGACGTGGATCTTTCTTTTGATAGAGCAGTTTTGAAAAACCCTTTTTGTTGAATCTGCAAGTGGACATTTGGATAGATTTGAAGATTTCGTTGGAAACGGGAATATCTTCATATCAAATCTAGACAGAAGCATTCTCAGAAACGTCTTTGTGATGTTTGCATTCAACTCATAGAGTTGAACATTCCGTTTCAGAGAGCAGCTTTGAAGCACTCTTTTTGTAGTATGTGCAAGTGGATATTTGGAGCGCTGTGAAGCCTACGGTGAAAAAGCAAATATCTTCCCATAACCACTAGACAGAAACATTCTCAGAAATTCCTTTATGACGTATGTACTCAAGTAACAGAGAAGAACCTTCCTTTTGACAGAGCAGTTTTGATAAACTCTTTTTGTAGAATCTGCAAGTGGATATTTGGATAGCTGTGAAGATTTCGTTGGAAACGGGAATATCTTCCTATAAAATCTAGACAGAAGCATTCTCAGAAACTGCTCTGTGATGTCTGCATTCAAGTCACAGAGTTGAACATTGCCTTTCATAGAGCAGGTTTGAAACACTCTTTTTTTAGTATATGGAAGTGGACGTTTCGGACGGTTTGAGGCCCATGGTGATAAAGGAAATATCTTCCCCTACAAGCTAGAAAGAAGCATTCTGTGAAACTTGTTTGTGAAGTGTGTACTCAAGTAACAGAGTTGAACCTTTCTTTTTACAGAGCAGTTTTGAAACACTCTTTTTGTAGAATCTGCGAGGGGATATTTGGATAGATTTCAGGATTTCGTTGGAAACGGGAATATCTTCATATAAAATCTCGACAGAAGCATTCTCAGAAACTTCTTTGTGATATGTGCATTCAAGTCACAGAGTTGAATATTCCCTTTCACAGAGTACGTTTGAAACACTCTTTTTGTAGTATCTGGAAGTGGACATTTGGAGCGCCTTGACGCCTACGGTGAAAAGGGAAATATCTTCCCATAAAAACTAGACAGAAGCAATCTCAGAATCTTCTTTGGGATATATGCACGCAGCTAACAGAGTTGAACCTTTCTATTGACAGAGCAGCTTTGAAACAGTCTTTCTGTGGAATCTGCAAGTGGATATTTGGATAGCTTGGAGGATTTCGTTGGAAACGGGATTACGTATAAAAAGTAGACAGCAGCATCCTCAGAAACTTCTTTGTGATGTGTGCATTCAAGTCACAGAGTTGAACATTCCCTTTCGTACAGCAGTTTTGAAACACTCTTTCTGTAGTATCTGGAAGTGAACATTAGGACAGCTTTCAGCTCTATGGTGAGAAAGGAAATATTTTCAAATAAAAACTAGACAGAAGCATTCTCATAAACTTGTTTGTGATGTGTGAACTCAGCTAACAGAGGTGGATCTTTCTTTTGATAGAGCAGTTCTGAAAAACACTTTTTGTTGAATCTGCAAGTGGACATTTGGATAGATTTGAAGATTTCCTTGGAAACGGGAATATCTTCATATCAAATCTAGACAGAAGAATTCTCAGAAACGTCTTTGTGATGTTTGCATTCAACTCATAGAGTTCAACATTCCCTTTCAGAGAGCAGCTTTGAAGCACTCTTTTTGTAGTATGTGCAAGTGGATATTTGGAGCGCTCTGAGGCCTACGGTGAAAAATCAAATATCTTCCCATAACCACTAGACAGAAACATTCTCAGAAACTCCTTTATGACGTATGCACTCACCTAACAGAAAAGAACCTTCCTTTTGACAGAGCAGTTTTGATACACTCTTTTTGTAGAATCTGCAAGTGGATATTTGGATAGCTGTGAAGATTTCGTTGGAAACGGGAATATCTTCCTATAAAATCTAGACAGAAGCATTCTCAGAAACTGCTCTGTGATGTCTGCATTCAAGTCACAGAGTTGAACATTGCCTTTCCTAGAGCAGGTTTGAAACGCTCTTTTTGTAGTATATGGAAGTTGACGTTTCGGAAGGTTTGAGGCCCATGGTGATAAAGGGAATATCTTCCCCTACAAGCTAGAAAGAAGCATTCTGTGAAACTTGTTTGTGATATGTGTACTCAACTAACAGAGTTGAACCTTTCTTTTTACAGAGCAGTTTTGAAACACTCTTTCTGTAGAATCTGCGAGGGGATATTTGGATAGATTTCAGGATTTCGTTGGAAACGGGAATATCTTCATATAAAATCTCGACAGAAGCATTCTCAGAAACTTCTTTGTGATATGTGCATTCAAGTCACAGAGTTGAATATTCCCTTTCACAGAGTAGGTTTGAAACACTCTTTTTGTAGTATCTGGAAGTGGACATTTGGAGCGCCTTGACGCCTATGGTGAAAAGGGAAATATCTTCCCATGAAAACTAGACAGAAGCAATATCAGAATCTTCTTTGGGATATATGCACGCAGCTAACAGAGTTGAACCTTTCTATTGACAGAGCAGTTTTGAAACAGTCTTTCTGTGGAATCTGCAAGTGGATATTTGGATAGCTTGGAGGATTTCTTTGGAAACGGGATTACGTATAAAAAGTAGACAGCAGCATCCTCAGAAACATCCTTGTGATGTGTGCATTCAAGTCACAGAAGTTGAACATTCCCTTTCGAACAGCAGTTTTGAAACACTCTTTCTGTAGTATCTGGAAGTGAACTTTAGGAGAGCTTTCAGGTCTATAGTGAGAAAGGATATATCTTCAAATAAAAACTAGACAGAAGCATTCTGATAAACTTGTTTGTGAAGTGTGATCTCAGCTAACAGAGGTGGATCTTTCTTTTGATAGAGCAGTTCTGAAAAACGCTTTGTTGAATCTGCAAGTGGACATTTGGATAGATTTGAAGATTTCGTTGGAAACGGGAATATCTTCATATCAAATCTAGACAGAAGCATTCTCAGAAACGTCTTTGCGATGTTTGCATTCAACTCATAGAGTTGAACATTCCCTTTCAGAGACCAGCTTTGAAGCACTCTTTTTGTAGTATGTGCAAGTGGATATTTGGAGCGCTCTGAGGCCTACGGTGAAAAAGCAAATATCTTCCCATAACCACTAGACAGAAACATTCTCAGAAACTTCTTTATGACGTATGTACTCAAGTAGCAGAGAAGAACTTTCCTTTTGACCGAGCATTTTTGATACACTCTTTTTGTACTATCTGCAAGTGGATATTTGGATAGCTGTGAAGATTTCGTTGGAAACGGGAATATCTTCCTATAAAGTCTGGACAGAAGCATTCTCAGAAACTGCTCTGTGATGTCTGCATTCAAGTCACAGAGTTGAACATTGCCTTTCATAGAGCAGGTTTGAAACACTCTTTTTTTAGTATATGGAAGTGGACGTTTCGGACGGTTTGAGGACCATGGTGATAAAGGAAATATCTTCCCCTACAAGCTAGAAAGAAGCATTCTGTGAAACTTGTTTGTGATGTGTGTACTCAACTAACAGAGTTGAACCTTTCTTTTTACAGATCAGTGTTGAAACACTCTTTTTGTGGAATCTGCGAGGGGATATTTGGATAGATTTCAGGATTTCGTTGGAAACGGGAATATCTTCATATAAAATCTCGACGGAAGCATTCTCAGAAACTTCTTTGTGACATCTGCCTTTAAGTCACAGAGTTGAATATTCCCTTTCACAGAGTAGGTTTGAAACACTCTTTTTGTAGTATCTGGAAGTGGACATTTGGAGCGCCTTGACACCTACGGTGAAAAGGGAAATATCTTCCCATAAAAACTAGACAGAAGCAATCTCAGAATCTTCTTTGGGATATATGCACACAGCTAACAGAGTTGAACCTTTCTATTGACAGAGCAGTTTTGAAACAGTCTTTCTGTGGAATCTGCAAGTGGATATTTGGATAGCTTGGAGGATTTCGTTGGAAACGGGATTAAGTATAAAAAGTAGACAGCAGCATCCTCAGAAACTTCTTTGTGATGTGTGCATTCAAGTCACAGAGTTGAATATTCCCTTTCGTACAGCAGTTTTGAAACACTCTTTCTGTAGCATCTGGAAGTGAACATTAGGACAGCTTTCAGGTCTATGGTGAGAAAGGAAATATCTTCAAATAAAAACTAGACAGAAGCATTCTCATAAACTTGTTTGTGATGTGTGAACTCAGCTAACAGAGGTGTATCTTTCCTTTGATAGAGCAGTTCTGAAAAACACGTTTTGTTGAATCTGCAAGTGGACATTTTGATAGATTTGAAGATTTCGTTGCAAACGGGAATATCTTCATATCAAAGCTAGACAGAAGCATTCTCAGAAACGTCTTTGTGATGTTTGCATTCAACTCATAGAGTTGAACATTCCCTTTCAGAGAGCAGCTTTGAAGCACTCTTTTTAAGTATGTGCAAGTGGACATTTGGAGCGCTTTGAGGCCTACGGGGAAAAAGTAAATATCTTACCATAACCCCTAGACAGAAACATTCTCAGAAACTTCTTTATCACGTATGTACTCAACTAAAACAGAAGAACCTTCCTTTTGAGAGAGCAGTTTTGATACACTCCATTGGAGAATCTGCAAGTGGATATTTGGATAGCTGTGAAGAATTCGTTGGAAACGGGAATACCTTCCTATAAAATCTAGACAGAAGCATTCTCAGAAACTGCTCTGTGATGTCTGCATTCAAGTCACAGTAGTTGAACATTGTCTTTCATAGAGCAGGTTTGAAGCGCTCTTTTTGTAGTATATGGAAGTGGACGTTTCGGACGGTTTGAGGCCCATGGTGATAAAGGGAATATCTTCCCCTACAAGCTAGAAAGAAGCATTCTGTGAAACTTGTTTGTGATGTGTGTACTCAACTAACAGAGTTGAACCTTTCTTTTTACAGAGCAGTTTTGAAACACTCTTTTTGTAGAATCTGCGAGGGGATATTTGGAGAGATTTCAGGATTTTGTTGGAAACGGAAATATCTTCATATAAAATCTCGACAGAAGCATTCTCAGAAACTTCCTTGTGATATGTGCATTCAAGTCACAGAGTTGAATGTTCCCTTTCACAGAGTAGGTTTGAAACACTCTTTTTGTAGTATCTGGAAATGGACATTTGGAGCGCCTTGACGCCTACGGTGAAAAGGGAAATATCTTCCCATCAAAACTAGACAGAAGCAATCTCAGAATCTTCTTTGGGATATATGCACGCAGCTAACAGAGTTGAACCTTTCTATTGACAGAGCAGTTTTGAAACAGTCTTTCTGTGGAATCTGCAAGTGGATATTTGGATAGCTTGGAGTATTTCGTTGGAAACGGGATTAAGTATAAAAAGTAGACAGCAGCATCCTCAGAAACTTCTTTGTGATGTGTGCATTCAAGTCACAGAGTTGAACATTCCCTTTCGTACAGCAGTTTTGAAACACTCTTTCTGTAGTAACTGGAACTGAACATTAGGACAGCTTTCAGGTCTATGGTGAGAAAGGAAATATCTTCAAATAAAAACTAGACAGAAGCATTCTCATAAACTTGTTTGTGATGTGTGAACTCAGCTTAGAGACGTGGATCTTTCTTTTGATAGAGCAGTTCTGAAAAACACGTTTTGTTGAATCTGCAAGTGGACATTTGGATAGATTTGAAGATTTCGTTGGAAACGGGAATATCTTCATATCAAATCTAGACAGAAGCATTCTCAGAAACGTCTTTGTGATGTTTGCATTCAACTCATAGAGTTGAACATTCCGTTTCAGAGAGCAGCTTTGAAGCACTCTTTTTGTAGTATCTGCAAGTGGATATTTGGAGCGCTCTGAGGCCTACGGTGAAAAAGCAAATATCTTCCCATAACCGCTAGACAGAAACATTCTCAGAAACTCCTTTATGACGTATGTACTCAACTAAGAGAGAAGAACCTTCCTTTTGACAGAGCAGTTTTGATACACTCTTTTTGTAGAATCTGCAAGTGGATATTTGGATAGCTGTGAAGATTTCGTTGCAAACGGGAATATCTTCCTATAAAATCTAGACAGAAGCATTCTCAGAAACTGCTCTGTGATGTCTGCATTCAAGTCACAGAGTTCAACATTGCCTTTCATAGAGCAGGTTTGAAACGCTCTTTTTGTAGTATATGGAAGTGGACGTTTCGGACGGTTTGAGGCCCATGGTGATAAAGGGAATATCTTCCCCTACAAGCTAGAAAGAAGCATTCTGTGAAACTTGTTTGTGATGTGTGTACTCAACTAACAGAGTTGAACCTTTCTTTTTACAGAGCAGTGTTGAAACACTCTTTTTGTGGAATCTGCGAGGGGATATTTGGATAGATTTCAGGATTTCGTTGGAAACGGGAATATCTTCATATAAAATCTCGACGGAAGCATTCTCAGAAACTTCTTTGTGATATCTGCATTGAAGTCACAGAGTTGAATATTCCCTTCCACAGAGTAGGTTTGAAAGACTCTTTTTGTAGTATCTGGAAGTGGACATTTGGAGCGCCTTGACGCCTACGGTGAAAAGGGAAATATCTTCCCATAAAAACTAGACAGAAGCAATCTCAGTAATCTTCTTTGGGATATATGTACGCAGCTAACAGAGTTGAACCTTTCTATTGACAGAGCAGTTTTGAAACAGTCTTTCTGTGGAATCTGCAAGTGGATATTTGGATAGCTTGGAGGATTTCGTTGGAAACGGGATTACGTATAAAAAGTAGACAGCCGCATCCTCAGAAACTTCTTTGTGATGTGTGCATTCAAGTCACAGAGTTGAACATTCCCTTTCGTACAGCAGTTTTGAAACACTCTTTCTGTAGTATCTGGAAGTGAACATTAGGACAGCTTTCAGGTCTATGGTGAGAAAGGAAATATCTTCAAATAAAAACTAGACAGAAGCATTCTGATAAACTTGTTTGTGAAGTGTGATCTCAGCTAACAGAGGTGGATCTTTCTTTTGATAGAGCAGTTCTGAAGAACACTTTGTTGAATCTGGAAGTGGACATTTGGATAGATTTGAAGATTTCGTTGGAAACGGGAATATCTTCATATCAAATCTAGACAGAAGCATTCTCAGAAACGTCTTTGTGATGTTTGCATTCAACTCATAGAGTTGAACATTCCGTTTCAGAGAGCAGCTTTGAAGCACTCTTTTTGTAGTATGTGCAAGTGGATATTTGGAGCGCTCTGAGGCCTACGGTGAAAAAGCAAATATCTTCCCATAACCACTAGACAGAAGCATTCTCAGAAACTCCTTTATGACGTATGCACTCACCTAACAGAAAAGAACCTTCCTTTTGACAGAGCAGTTTTGATACACTCTTTTTGTAGAATCTGCAAGTGGATATTTGGATAGCTGTGAAGATTTCGTTGGAAACGGGAATATCTTCCTATAAAATACTAGACAGAAGCATTCTCAGAAACTGCTCTGTGATGTCTGCATTCAAGTCACAGAGTTGAACATTGCCTTTCCTAGAACAGGTTTGAAACGCTCTTTTTGTAGTATATGGAAGTGGACGTTTCGGACGGTTTGAGGCCCATGGTGATAAAGGGAATATCTTCCCCTACAAGCTAGAAGGAAGCATTCTGTGAAACTTGTTTGTGATGTGTGTACTCAACTAACAGAGTTGAACCTTTCTTTTCACAGAGCAGTTTTGAAACACTCTTTTTGTAGAATCTGCGAGGGGAAATTTGGATAGAATTCAGGATTTCGTTGGAAACGGGAATATCTTCATACAAAATCTCGACAGAAGCATTCTCAAAAACTTCTTTGTGATATGTGCATTCAAGTCACAGAGTTGAATATTCCCTTTCACAGAGTAGGTTTGAAACACTCTTTTTGTAGTATCTGGAAGTGGACATTTGGAGCGCCTTGACACCTACCGTGAAAAGGGAAATATCTTCCCATAAAAACTAGACAGAAGCAATCTCAGAATCTTCTTTGGGATATATGCACGCAGCTAACAGAGTTGAACCTTTCTATTGACAGAGCAGTTTTGAAACAGTCTTTCTGTGGAATCTGCAAGTGGATATTTGGATAGCTTGGAGGATTTCGTTGGAAACGGGATTACGTATAAAAAGTAGACAGCAGCATCCTCAGAAACTTCTTTGTGATGTGTGCATTCAAGTCACAGAGTTGAACATTCCTTTTCGTACAGCAGTTTTGAAACACTCTTTCTGTAGTACCTGGAAGTGAACATTAGGACAGCTTTCAGCTCTATGGTGAGAAAGGAAATATCTTCAAATAAAAACTAGACAGAAAGCATTCTCATAAACTTGTTTGTGATGTGTGAACTCAGCTAACAGAGGTGGATCTTTCTTTTGATACAGCAGTTTTGAAAAACACTTTTTGTTGAATCCGCAAGTGGACATTTGGATAGATTTGAAGATTTCATTGGAAACGGGAATATCTTCATATCAAATCTAGACAGAAGCATTCTCAGAAACGTCTTTGTGATGTTTGCATTCAACTCATAGAGTTGAACATTCCGTTTCAGAGAGCAGCTTTGAAGCTCTCTTTTTGTAGTATGTGCAAGTGGATATTTGGAGCGCTCTGAGGCCTACGGTGAAAAAGCAAATATCTTCCCATAACCACTAGACAGAAACATTCTCAGAAACTCCTTTATGACGTATGCACTCACCTAACTGAGAAGAACCTTCCTCTTGACAGAGCAGTTTTGATACACTCTTTTTGTAGAATCTGCAAGTGGATATTTGGATAGCTGTGAAGATTTCGTTGAAAACGGGAATATCTTCCTATAAAATCTAGACAGAAGCATTCTCAGAAACTGCTCTGTGATGTCTGCATTCAAGTCACAGAGTTGAACATTGCCTTTCATAGAGCAGGTTTGAAACGCTCTTTTCGTAGTATATGGAAGTGGACGTTTCGGACGGTTTGAGGCCCATGGTGATAAAGTGAATATCTTCCCCTACCAGCTAGAAGGAAGCATTCTGTGAAACTTGTTTGTGATGTGTGTACTCAACTAACAGAGTTGAACCTTCCTTTTCACAGAGCAGTTTTGAAACACTCTTTTTGTAGAATCTGCGAGGGGATATTTGGATAGATTTCAGGATTTCGTTGGAAACGGGAATATCTTCATATAAAATCTCGACAGAAGCATTCTCAGAAACTTCTTTGTGATATCTGCATTCAAATCACTGAGTTGAATATTCCCTTTCACAGAGTAGGTTTGAAACACTCTTTTTGTAGTATCTGGAAGTGGACATTTGGAGCGCCTTGACGCCTACGGTGAAAAGGGAAATATCTTCCCATAAAAACTAGACAGAAGCAATCTCAGAATCTTCTTTGGGATATATGGACACAGCTAACAGAGTTGAACCTTTCTATTGACAGAGCAGTTTTGAAACAGTCTTTCTGTGGAATCTGCAAGTGGATATTTGGATAGCTTGGAGGATTTCGTTGGAAACGGGATTACGTATAAAAAGTAGACAGCAGCATCCTCAGAAACTTCTTTGTGATGTGTGCATTCAAGTTACAGAGTTGAACATTCCCTTTCGTACAGCAGTTTTGAAACACTCTTTCTGTAGTATCTGGAAGTGAACATTAGGACAGCTTTCAGGTCTATGGTGAGAAAGGAAATATCTTCAAATAAAAACTAGACAGAAGCATTCTCATAAACTTGTTCGTGATGTGTGAACTCAGCTAACACACGTCGATCATTCTTTTGATAGAGCAGTTCTGAAAAACACTTTTTGTTGAATCTGCAAGAGGACATTTGGATAGATTTGAAGATTTCGTTGGAAACGGGAATATCTTCATATCAAATCTAGACAGAAGCATTCTCAGAAACGTCTTTGTGATGTTTGCATTCAACTCATAGAGTTGAACATTCCGTTTCAGAGAGCAGGTTTGAAGCACTCTTTTTGTAGTATGTGCAAGTGGATATTTGGAGCGCTCTGAGGCCTACGGTGAAAAAGCAAATATCTTCCCATAACCACTAGACAGAAACATTCTCAGAAACTCCTTTATGACGTATGCACTCACCTAACAGAGAAGAACCTTCCTTTTGACAGAGCAGTTTTGATACACTCTTTTTGTAGAATCTGCAAGTGGATATTTGGATACCTGTGAAGATTTCGTTGGAAACGGGAATATCTTCCTATAAAATCTATACAGAAGCATTCTCAGAAACTGCTCTGTGATGTCTGCATTCAAGTCACAGAGTTGAACATTGCCTTTCATAGAGCAGGTTTGAAATGCTCTTTTTGTAGTATATGGAAGTGGACGTTTCGGACGGTTTGAGGACCATGGTGATAAAGGGAATATCTTCCCCTACAAGCTAGAAAGAAGCATTCTGTGAAACTTGTTTGTGATGTGTGTACTCAACTAACAGAGTTGAACCTTTCTTTTTACAGAGCAGTTTTGAAACACTCTTTTTGTAGAATCTGCGAGGGGATATTTGGATACATTTCAGGATTTCGTTGGAAACGGGAATATCTTCATATAAAATCTCGACAGAAGCATTCTCAGAAACTTCTTTGTGATATGTGCATTCAAGTCACAGAGTTGAATATTCCCTTTCACGGAGTAGGTTTGAAACACTCTTTTTGTAGTATCTGGAAGTGGACATTTGGAGCGCCTTGACGCCTACGGTGAAAAGGGAAATATCTTCCCATAAAAACTAGACAGAAGCAATCTCAGAATCTTCTTTGGGATATATGCACGCAGCTAACAGAGTTGAACCTTTCTATTGACAGAGCAGTTTTGAAACAGTCTTTCTGTGGAATCTGCAAGTGGATATTTGGATAGCTTGGAGGATTTCGTTGGAAACGGGATTACGTATCAAAAGTAGACAGCAGCATCCTCAGAAACTTCTTTGTGATGTGTGCATTCAAGTCACAGAGTTGAACATTCCCTTTCGTACAGCAGTTTTGAAACACTCTTTCTGTAGTATCTGGAAGTGAACATTAGGACAGCTTTCAGGTCTATGGTGAGAAAGGAAATATCTTCAAATAAAAACCAGACAGAAGCATTCTCATAAACTTGTTTGTGATGTGTGAACTCAGCTAACACACGTGGATCTTTCTTTTGATAGAGCAGTTCTGAAAAACACTTTTTGTTGAATCTGCAAGTGGACATTTGGATAGATTTGAAGATTTCGTTGGAAACGGGAATATCTTCATATCAAATCTAGACAGAAGCATTCTCAGAAACGTCTTTGTGATGTTTGCATTCAACTCATAGAGTTGAACATTCCCTTTCAGAGAGCAGCTTTGAAGCACTCTTTTTGTAGTATGTGCAAGTGGATATTTGGAGCGCTCTGAGGCCTACGGTGAAAAAGCAAATATCATCCCATAACCACTAGACAGAAGCATTCTGATAAACTTGTTTGTGAAGTGTGAACTCAGCTAACGGAGGTGGATTTTTCTTTTGATAGAGCAGTTCTGAAAAACACTTTTTGTTGAATCTGCAAGTGGACATTTGGATAGATTTGAAGATTTCGTTGGAAACGGGAATATCTTCATATCAAATCTAGACAGAAGCATTCTCAGAAACTGCTCTGTGATGTCTGCATTCAAGTCACAGAGTTGAACATTGCCTTTCATAGAGCAGGTTTGAAACGCTCTTTTTGTAGTATATGGAAGTGGACGTTTCGGACGGTTTGAGGCCCATGGTGATAAAGGGAATATCTTCCCCTACAAGCTAGAAAGAAGCATTCTGTGAAACTTGTTTGTGATGTGTGTACTCAACTAACAGAGTTGAACCTTTGTTTTTACAGAGCAGTTTTGAAACACTCTTTTTGTAGAATCTGCGAGGGGATATTTGGATACATTTCAACATTTCGTTGGAAACGGGAATATCTTCATATAAAATCTCGACAGAAGCATTCTCAGAAACTTCCTTGTGATATGTGCATTCAAGTCACAGAGTTGAATATTCCCTTTCACAGAGTAGGTTTGAAACACTCTTTTTGTAGTATCTGGAAGTGGACATTTGGAGCGCCTTGACACCTACGGTGAAAAGGGAAATATCTTCCCATAAAAACTAGACAGAAGCAATCTCAGAATCTTCTTTGGGATATATGCACGCAGCTAACAGAGTTGAACCTTTCTATTGACAGAGCAGTTTTGAAACAGTCTTTCTGTGGAATCTGCAAGTGGATATTTGGATAGCTTGGAGGATTTCGTTGAAAACGGGATTACGTATAAAAAGTAGACAGCAGCATCCTCAGAAACTTCTTTGTGATGTGTGCATTCAAGTCACAGAGTTGAACATTCCGTTTCATACAGCAGTTTTGAAACACTCTTTCTGTAGTATCTGGAAGTAAACATTACGACAGCTTTCAGGTCTATGGTGAGAAAGGAAATATCTTCAAATAAAAACTAGACAGAAGCATTCTCATAAACTTGTTTGTGATGTGTGAACTCAGCTAACAGAGGTGGATCTTTCTTTTGATAGAGCAATTCTGAAAAACACTTTTTGTTGAATCTGCAAGTGGACATTTGGATAGATTTGAAGATTTCGTTGGAAACGGGAATATCTTCATATCAAATCTAGACAGAAGCATTCTCAGAAACGTCTTTGCGATGTTTGCATTCAACTCATAGAGTTGAACATTCCGTTTCAGAGAGCAGCTTTGAGGCACTCTTTTTGTAGTATGTGCAAGTGGATATTTGGAGCGCTCTGAGGCCTACGGTGAAAAAGCAAATATCTTCCTATAACCACTAACAGAAACATTCTCAGAAACTCCTTTATGACGTATGCACTCACCTAACAGAAAAGAACCTTCCTTTTGACAGAGCAGTTTTGATACACTCTTTTTCTAGAATCTGCAAGAGGATATTTGGATAGCTGTGAAGATTTCGTTGGAAACGGGAATATCTTCCTATAAAATCTAGACAGAAAGCATTCTCAGAAACTGCTCTGTGATGTCTGCATTCAAGTCACAGAGTTGAACATTGCCTTTCGTAGAGCAGGTTTGAAACGCTCTTTTTGTAGTATATGGAAGTGGACGTTTCGGACGGTTTGAGGCCCATGGTGATAAAGGGAATATCTTCCCCTACAAGCTAGAAAGAAGCATTCTGTGAAACTTGTTTGTGATGTGTGTACTCAACTAACAGAGTTGAACCTTTCTTTTTGCAGAGCAGTTTTGAAACACTCTTTTTGTAGAATCTGCGAGGGGAAATTTGGATAGATTTCAGGATTTCGTTGGAAACGGGAATATCTTCATACAAAATCTCGACAGAAGCATTCTCAGAAACTTCTTTATGATATCTGCATTCAAGTCACAGAGTTGAATATTCCCTTTCACAGAGTAGGTTTGAAACACTCTTTTTATAGTATCTGGAAGTGGACATTTGGAGCGCCTTGACCCCTACGGTGAAAAGGGAAATATCTTCCCATAAAAACTAGACAGAAGCAATCTCAGAATTTTCTTTGGGATATATGCACACAGCTAACAGAGTTGAACTTTTCTATTGACATAGCAGTTTTGAAACAGTCTTTCTGTGGAATCTGCAAGTGGATATTTGGATAGCTTGGAGGATTTCGTTGGAAATGGGATTACGTATAAAAAGTAGACAGCAGCATCCTCAGAAACTTCTTTGTGATGTGTGCATTCAAGTCACAGAGTTGAACATTCCCTTTCGTGCAGCAGTTTTGAAACACTCTTTCTGTAGTAACTGGAAGTGAACATTAGGACAGCTTTCAGGTCTATGGTGAGAAAGGAAATATCTTCAAATAAAAACTAGACAGAAGCATTCTCATAAACTTGTTTGTGATGTGTGAACTCAGCTAAGAGAGGTGGATCTTTCTTTTGATAGAACAGTTCTGAAAAACACTTTTTGTTGAATCTGCAAGTGGACATTTGGATAGATTTGAAGATTTCGTTGGAAACGGGAATATCTTCATATCAAATCTAGACAGAAGCATTCTCAGAAACGTCTTTGCGATGTTTGCATTCAACTCATAGAGTTGAACATTCCGTTTCAGAGAGCAGCTTTGAGGCACTCTTTTTGTAGTATGTGCAAGTGGATATTTGGAGCGCTCTGAGGCCTAAGGTGAAAAAGCAAATATCTTCCCATAACCACTAGACAGAAACATTCTCAGAAACTCCTTTATGACGTATGCACTCACCTAACAGAGAAGAACCTTCCTTTTGACAGAGCAGTTTTGATACACTCTTTTTGTAGAATCTGCAAGTGGATATTTGGATAGCTGTGAAGATTTCGTTGGAAACGGGAATATCTTCCTATAAAATGCTAGACAGAAGCATTCTCCGAAACTGCTCTGAGATGTCTGCATTCAAGTCACAGAGTTGAACATTGCCTTTCATAGAGCAGGTTTCAAACACTCTTTTTTTAGTATATGGAAGTGGATGTTTCGGACGGTTTGAGGACCATGGTGATAAAGGAAATATCTTCCCCTACATGCTAGAAAGAAGCATTCTGTGAAACTTGTTTGTGATGTGTGTACTCAACTAACAGAGTTGAACCTTTCTTTTTACAGAGCAGTTTTGAAACACTCTTTTTGTAGAATCTGCGTGGGGATATTTGGATAGATTTCAGGATTTCGTTGGAAACGGGAATATCTTCATATAAAATCTCGACAGAAGCATTCTCAGAAACTTCTTTGTGATATGTGCATTCAAGTCACAGAGTTGAATATTCCCTTTCACAGAGTAGGTTTGAAACACTCTTTTTGTAGTATCTGGAAGTGGACATTTGGAGCGCCTTGACGCCTACGGTGAAAAGGGAAATATCTTCCCATGAAAACTAGACAGAAGCAATCTCAGAATCTTCTTTGGGATATATGCACGCAGCTAACAGAGTTGAACCTTTCTATTGACAGAGCAGTTTTGAAACAGTCTTTCTGTGGAATCTGCAAGTGGATATTTGGATAGCTTGGAGGATTTCGTTGGAAACGGGATTACGTATAAAAAGTAGAAAGCCAGCATCCTCAGAAACTTCTTTGTGATGTGTGCATTCAAGTCACAGAGTTGAACATTCCTTTTCGTACAGCAGTTTTGAAACACTCTTTCTGTAGTATCTGGAAGTGAACATTAGGACAGCTTTCAGCTCTATGGTGAGAAAGGAAATATCTTCAAATAAAAACTAGACAGAGCATTCTCCTAAACTTGTTTGTGATGTGTGAACTCAGCTAACAGACGTGGATCTTTCTTTTGATACAGCAGTTTTGAAAAACACATTTTGTTGAATCTGCAAGTGGACATTTGGATAGATTTGAAGATTTCGTTGGAAACGGGAATATCTTCATATCAAATCTAGACAGAAGCATTCTCAGAAACGTCTTTGCGATGTTTGCATTCAACTCATAGAGTTGAACATTCCGTTTCAGAGAGCAGCTTTGAGGCACTCTTTTTGTAGTATGTGCAAGTGGATATTTGGAGCGCTCTGAGGCCTACGGTGAAAAAGCAAATATCTTTCCATAACCACTAGACAGAAACATTCTCAGAAACTTCTTTATGACGTATGTACTCAACTAGCAGAGAAGAACTTTCCTTTTGACAGAGCATTTTTGATACACTCTTTTTGTAGTATCTGCAAGTGGATATTTGGATAGCTGTGAAGATATCGTTGGAAACGGGAATATCTTCCTATAAAGTCTGGACAGAAGCATTCTCAGAAACTGCTCTGTGATGTCTGCATTCAAGTCACAGAGTTGAACATTGCCTTTCATAGAGCAGGTTTGAAACACTCTTTTTGTAGTATTTGGAAGTGGACGTTTCGGACGGTTTGAGGCCCATGGTGATAAAGGGAATATCTTCCCCTACAAGCTAGAAAGAAGCATTCTGTGAAACTTGTTTGTGATGTGTGTACTCAACTAACAGAGTTGAACCTTTCTTTTCACAGAGCAGTTTTGAAACACTCTTTTTGTAGAATCTGCGAGGGGATATTTCGATAGATTTCAGCATTTCGTTGGAAACGGGAATATCTTCATATAAAATCTCGACAGAAGCATTCTCAGAAACTTCTTTGTGATATGTGCATTCAGGTCACAGAGTTGAATATTCCCTTTCACAGAGTAGGTTTGAAACACTCTTTTTGTAGTATCTGGAAGTGGACATTTGGAGCGCCTTGACACCTACGGTGAAAAGGGAAATATCTTCCCATAAAAACTAGACAGAAGCAATCTCAGAATCTTCTTTGGGATATATGCACGCAGCTAACAGAGTTGAACCTTTCTATTGACTGAGCAGATTTGAAACAGTCTTTCTGTGGAATCTGCAAGTGGATATTTGGATAGATTGGTGGATTTCGTTGGAAACGGGATTACGTATAAAAAGTAGACAGCAGCATCCTCAGAAACTTCTTTGTGATGTGTGCATTCAAGTCACAGAGTTGAACATTCCCTTTCGTACAGCAGTTTTGAAACACTCTTTCTGTAGTATCTGGAAGTGAACATTAGGACAGCTTTCAGGTCTATGGTGAGAAAGGAAATATCTTCAAATAAAAACTAGACAGAAGCATTTTCATAAACTTGTTTGTGATGTGTGAACTCAGCTAACAGAGGTGGATCTTTCTTTTGATAGAGCAGTTCTGAAAAACACTTTTTGTTGAATCTGCAAGTGGACATTTGGATAGCTTTGAAGATTTCGTTGGAAACGGGAATATCTTCATATCAAATCTAGACAGAAGCATTCTCAGAAACGTCTTTGTGATGTTCGCATTCAACTCATAGAGTTGAACATTCCGTTTCAGAGAGCAGGTTTGAAGCACTCTTTTTGTAGTATGTGCAAGTGGATATTTGGAGCGCTCTGAGGCCTACGGTGAAAAAGCAAATATCTTCCCATAACCACTAGACAGAAACATTCTCAGAAACTCCTTTATGACGTATGTACTCAACTAACAGAGAAGAACCTTCCTTTTGACAGAGCAGTTTTGATACACTCTTTTTGTAGAATCTGCAAGTGGATATTTGGATAGCTGTGAAGATTTCGTTGGATACGGGAATATCTTCCTATAAAATCTAGACAGAAGCATTCTCAGAACCTGCTCTTTGATGTCTGCATTCAAGTCACAGAGTTGAACATTGCCTTTCCTAGAGCAGGTTTGAAACGCTCTTTTTGTAGTATATGGAAGTGGACGTTTCGGACGGTTTGAGGCCCATGGTGATAAAGGGAATATCTTCCCCTACAAGCTAGAAAGAAGCATTCTGTGAAACTTGTTTGTGATGTGTGTACTCAACTAACAGAGTTGAACCTTTCTTTTTACAGAGCAGTTTTGAAACACTCTTTTTGTAGAATCTGCGAGGGGATATTTGAATAGATTTCAGGATTTCGTTGGAAACGGGAATATCTTCATAGAAAATCTCGACAGAAGCATTCTCAGAAACTTCTTTGTGATATCTCCCTTTAAGTCACAGAGTTGAATATTCCCTTTCACAGAGTAGGTTTGAAACACTCTTTTTGTAGTATCTGGAAGTGGACATTTGGAGCGCCTTGACACCTACGGTGAAAAGGGAAATATCTTCCCATAAAAACTAGACAGAAGCAATCTCAGAATCTTCTTTGGGATATATGCACGCAGCTAACAGAGTTGAACCTTTCTATTGACAGAGCAGTTTTGAAACAGTCTTACTGTGGAATCTGCAAGTGGATATTTGGATAGCTTGGAGGATATCTTTGGAAACGGGATTACGTATAAAAAGTAGACAGCAGCATCCTCAGAAACTTCTTTGTGATGTGTGCATTCAAGTCACAGAGTTGAACATTCCCTTTCGTACAGCAGTTTTGAAACACTCTTTCTGTAGTATCTGGAAGTGAACATTAGGACAGCTTTCAGCTCTATGGTGAGAAAGGAAATATCTTCAAATAAAAACTAGACAGAAGCATTC
The DNA here is from genome assembly GCF_000001405.40 of Homo sapiens. Classification (NCBI taxonomy): domain Eukaryota; kingdom Metazoa; phylum Chordata; class Mammalia; order Primates; family Hominidae; genus Homo; species Homo sapiens. The sequence goes on from NC_000014.9 coordinate 17,531,680, forward strand.
TCATAAACTTGTTTGTGAGGTGTGAACTCAGCTAACAGAGGTGGATCTTACTTTTGATAGAGCAGTTCTGAAAAACACTTTTTGTTGAATCTGCAAGTGGACATTTGGATACATTTGAAGATTTCGTTGGAAACGGGAATATCTTCATATCAAATCTAGACAGAAGCATTCTCAGAAACGTCTTTGCGATGTTTGCATTCAACTCATAGAGTTGCACATTCCGTTTCAGAGAGCAGCTTTGAGGCACTCTTTTTGTAGTATGTGCAAGTGGATATTTGGAGCCCTCTGAGGCCTACGGTGAAAAAGCAAATATCTTCCCATAACCACTAGACAGAAAACATTCTCAGAAACTCCTTTATGACGTATGCACTCACCTAACAGAGAAGAACCTTCCTTTTGACAGAGCAGTTTTGATACACTCTTTTTGTAGAATCTGCAAGTGGATATTTGGATACCTGTGAAGATTTCGTTGGAAACGGGAATATCTTCCTATAAAATCTAGACAGAAGCATTCTCAGAAACTGCTCTGTGATGTCTGCATTCAAGTCACAGAGTTGAACATTGCCTTTCATAGAGCAGGTTTGAAACGCTCTTTTTGTACTATATGGAAGTAGACGTTTCGGACGGTTTGAGGCCCATGGTGATAAAGGGAATATCTTCCCCTGCAAGCTAGAAAGAAGCATTCTGTGAAACTTGTTTGTGATGTGTGTACTTAACTAACAGAGTTGAACCTTTCTTTTTACAGAGCAGTGTTGAAACACTCTTTTTGTAGAATCTGCGAGGGGATATTTGGATAGATTTCAGGATTTCGTTGGAAACGGGAATATCTTCATATAAAATCTCGACAGAAGCATTCTCAGAAACTTCTTTGTGATATCTGCATTCAAGTCACAGAGTTGAATATTCCCTTCCACAGAGTAGGTTTGAAACACTCTTTTTGTAGTATCTGGAAGTGGACATTTGGAGCGCCTTGACGCCTACGGTGAAAAGGGAAATATCTTCCCATAAAAACTAGACAGAAGCAATCTCAGAATCTTCTTTGGGATATATGCACGCAGCTAACAGAGTTGAACCTTTCTATTGACAGAGCAGTTTTGAAACAGTCTTTCTGTGGAATCTGCAAGTGGATATTTGGATAGCTTGGAGGATTTCGTTGGAAACGGGATTAAGTATAAAAAGTATACAGCAGCATCCTCAGAAACTTCTTTGTGATGTGTGCATTCAAGTCACAGAGTTGAACATTCCCTTTCGTACAGCAGTTTTGAAACACTCTTTCTGTAGTATCTGGAAGTGAATATTAGGACAGCTTTCAGCTCTATGGTGAGAAAGGAAATATCTTCAAATAAAAACTAGACAGAAGCATTCTGATAAACTTGTTTGTGAAGTGTGAACTCAGCTAACAGAGGTGGATCTTTCTTTTGATAGAGCAGTTCTGAAAAACACTTTGTTGAATCTGCAAGTGGATATTTGGATAGATTTGAAGATTTCGTTGGAAACGGGAATATCTTCATATCAAATCTAGACAGAAGCATTCTCAGAAACGTCTTTGTGATGTTTGCATTCAACTCATAGAGTTGAACATTCCCTTCCAGAGAGTAGCTTTGAAGCACTCTTTTTGTAGCATGTGCAAGTGGACATTTGGAGCGCCCTGAGGCCTACGGGGAAAAAGAAAATATCTTCCCATAACCACTAGACAGAAACATTCTCAGAAACTCCTTTATGACGTATGCACTCAACTAACAGAAAAGAACCTTCCTTTTGACAGAGCAGTTTTGATACACTCTTTTTGTAGAATCTGCAAGTGGATATTAGGATAGCTGTGAAGATTTCGTTGGAAACGGGAATATCTTCCTATAAAATCTAGACAGAAGCATTCTCAGAAACTGCTCTGTGATGTCTGCATTCAAGTCACAGAGTTGAACATTGCCTTTCATAGAGCAGGTTTGAAACGCTCTTTTTGTAGTATATGGAAGTGGATGTTTCGGACGGTTGGAGGCCCATGGTGATAAAGGGAATATCTTCCCCTACAAGCTAGAAAGAAGCATTCTGTGAAACTTGTTTGTGATGTGTGTACTCAACTAACAGAGTTGAACCTTTCTTTTTACAGAGCAGTTTTGAAACACTCTTTTTGTAGAATCTGCGAGGGGATATTTGGATAGATTTCAGGATTTCGTTGGAAACGGAAATATCTTTATATAAAATCTCGACAGAAGCATTCTCAGAAACTTCTTTGTGATATGTGCATTCAAGTCACAGAGTTGAATATTCCCTTTCACAGAGTAGGTTTGAAACACTCTTTTTGTAGTATCTGGAAGTGGACATTTGGAGCGCCTTGACGCCTATGGTGAAAAGGGAAATATCTTCCCATAAAAACTAGACAGAAGCAATCTCAGAATCTTCTTTGGGATATATGCACGCAGCTAACAGAGTTGAACCTTTCTATTGACAGAGCAGTTTTGAAACAGTCTTTCTGTGGAAACTGCAAGTGGATATTTGGATAGCTTGGAGGATTTCGTTGGAAACGGGATTACGTATAAAAAGTAGACAGCAGCATCCTCAGAAACATCCTTGTGATGTGTGCATTCACGTCACAGAGTTGAACATTCCCTTTCGTACAGCAGTTTTGAAACACTGTTTCTGTAGTATCTGGAAGTGAACTTTAGGACAGCTTTCAGGTCTATAGTGAGAAAGGATATATCTTCAAATAAAAACTAGACAGAAGCATTCTGATAAACTTGTTTGTGAAGTGTGATCTCAGCTAACAGAGGTGGATCTTTCTTTTGATAGAGCAGTTCTGAAAAACACTTTGTTGAATCTGCAAGTGGACATTTGGATAGATTTCAAGATTTCGTTGGAAACGGGAATATCTTCATATCAAATCTAGACAGAAGCATTCTCAGAAACGTCTTTGTGATGTTTGCATTCAATTCATAGAGTTGAACATTCCGTTTCAGAGAGCAGCTTTGAGGCACTCTTTTTGTAGTATGTGCAAGTGGATATTTGGAGCGCTCTGAGGCCTAAGGTGAAAAAGCAAATATCTTCCCATAACCACTAGACAGAAACATTCTCAGAAACTTCTTTATGACGTAAGTACTCAACTAAAACAGAAGAACCTTCCTTTTGACAGAGCAGTTTTGATACACTCCATTGGAGAATCTGCAAGTGGATATTTGGATAGCTGTGAAGATTTCGTTGGAAACGGGAATACCTTCCTATAAAGTCTAGACAGAAGCATTCTCAGAAACTGCTCTGTGATGTCTGCATTCAAGTCACAGAGTTGAACATTGCCTTTCGTAGAGCAGGTTTGAAACGCTCTTTTTGTAGTATATGGAAGTGGATGTTTCGGACGGTTGGAGGCCCATGGTGATAAAGGGAATATCTTCCCCTACAAGCTAGAAAGAAGCATTCTGTGAAACTTGTTTGTGATGAGTGTACTCAACTAACAGAGTTGAACCTTTCTTTTTACAGAGCAGTTTTGAAACACTCTTTTTGTAGAATCTGCGAGGGGATATTTGGATACATTTCAGGATTTCGTTGGAAACGGGAATATCTTCATATAAAATCTCGACAGAAGCATCCTCAGAAACTTCTTTGTGATGTGTGCATTCAAGTCACAGAGTTGAATATTCCCTTTCACAGAGTAGGTTTGAAACACTCTTTTTGTAGTATCTGGAAGTGGACATTTGGAGCGCCTTGACACCTACGGTGAAGAGGGAAATATCTTCCCATAAAAACTAGACAGAAGCAATCTCAGAATCTTCTTTGGGATATATGCACGCAGCTAACAGAGTTGAACCTTTCTATTGACAGAGCAGTTTTGAAACAGTCTTTCTGTGGAATCTGCAAGTGGATATTTGGATAGCTTGGAGGATTTCGTTGGAAACGGGATTACGTATAAAAAGTAGACAGCAGCATCCTCAGAAACTTCTTTGTGATGTGTGCATTCAAGTCACAGAGTTGAACATTCCCTTTCGTACAGCAGTATTGAATCACTCTTTCTGTAGTATCTGGAAGTGAACATTAGGACAGCTTTCAGGTCTATGGTGAGAAAGGAAATATCTTCAAATAAAAACTAGACAGAAGCATTCTCATAAACTTGTTTGTGATGTGTGAACTCAGCTAACAGAGGTGGATCTTTCTTTTGATAGAGCAGTTCTGAAAAACACTTTTTGTTGAATCTGCAAGTGGACATTTGGATAGATTTGAAGATTTCGTTGGAAACGGGAATATCTTCATATCAAATCTAGACAGAAGCATTCTCAGAAACGTCTTTGTGATGTTTGCATTCAACCCATAGAGTTGAACATTCCCTTTCAGAGAGCAGCTTTGAAGCACTCTTTTTGTAGTATGTGCAAGGGGATATTTGGAGCGCTCTGAGGCCTAAGGTGAAAAAGCAAATATCTTCCCATAACCACTAGACAGAAACATTCTCAGAAACTCCTTTATGACGTATGCACTCACCTAACAGAGAAGAACCTTCCTTTTGACAGAGCAGTTTTGATACACTCTTTTTGTAGAATCTGCAAGTGGATATTTGGATAGCTGTGAAGATTTCGTTGGAAACGGGAATATCTTCCTATAAAATCTAGACAGAAGCATTCTCAGAAACTGCTCTGTGATGTCTGCATTCAAGTCACAGAGTTGAACATTGCCTTTCATAGAGCAGCTTTGAAACGCTCTTTTTGTAGTATATGGAAGTGGACGTTTCAGACGGTTTGAGGCCCATGGTGATAAAGGGAATATCTTCCCCTACAAGCTAGAAAGAAGCATTCTGTGAAACTTGTTTGTGATGTGTGTACTCAACTAACAGAGTTGAACCTTTCTTTTTACAGAGCACTTTTGAAACACTCTTTTTGTAGAATCTGCGAGGGGATATTTGGATACATTTCAGCATTTCGTTGGAAACGGGAATATCTTCATATAAAATCTCGACAGAAGCATTCTCAGAAACTTCTTTGTGATATCTGCATTCAAGTCACAGAGTTGAATATTCCCTTTCACAGAGTAGGTTTGAAACACTCTTTTTGTAGTATCTGGAAGTGGACATTTGGAGCGCCTTAACACCTACGGTGAAAAGAGAAATATCTTCCCATAAAAACTAGACAGAAGCAATCTCAGAATCTTCTTTGGGATATATGCACGCAAGCTAACAGAGTTGAACCTTTCTATTGACAGAGCAGTTTTGAAACAGTCTTTCTGTGGAATCTGCAAGTGGATATTTGGATAGCTTGGAGGATTTCGTTGGAAAAGGGATTACGTATAAAAAGTAGACAGCAGCATCCTCAGTAAACTTCTTTGTGATGTGTGCATTCAAGTCACATAGTTGAACATTCCCTTTCGTACAGCAGTTTTGAAACACTCTTTCTGTAGTATCTGGAAGTGAACATTAGGACAGCTTTCAGCTCTATGGTGAGAAAGGAAATATCTTCAAATAAAAACTAGACAGAAGCATTCTCATAAACTTGTTTGTGATGTGTGAACTCAGCTAACAGAGGTGGATCTTTCTTTTGATAGAGCAGTTCTGAAAAACACTTTTTGTTGAATCTGCAAGTGGACATTTGGATAGATTTGAAGATTTCGTTGGAAACGGGAATATCTTCATATCAAATCTATACAGAAGCATTCCCAGAAACGTCTTTGTGATGTTTGCATTCAACTCATAGAGTTGAACATTCCGTTTCAGAGAGCAGCTTTGAAGCACTCTTTTTGTAGCATGTGCAAGGGGATATTTGGAGAGCTCTGAGGCCTACGGTGAAAAAGCAAATATCTTCCCATAACCACTAGACAGAAACATTCTCAGAAACTCCTTTATGACGTATGTACTCAACTAACAGAGAAGAACCTTCCTTTTGACAGAGCAGTTTTGATACACTCTTTTTGTAGAATCTGCAAGTGGATATTTGGATAGCTGTGAAGATTTCGTTGGAAACGGGAATATCTTCCTATAAAATCTAGACAGAAGCATTCTCATAAACTGCTCTGTGATGTCTGCATTCAAGTCACAGAGTTGAACATTGCCTTTCATAGAGCAGGTTTGAAACGCTCTTTTTGTAGTATATGGAAGTAGACGTTTTGGACGGTTTGAGGCCCATGGTGATAAAGGGAATATCTTCCCCTACAAGCTAGAAAGAAGCATTCTGTGAAACTTGTTTGTGATGTGTGTACTCAACTAACAGAGTTGAACCTTTCTTTTTACAGAGCAGTTTTGAAACACTCTTTTTGTAGAATCTGCGAGGGGATATTTGGATAGATTTCAGGATTTCGTTGGAAACGGGAATATCTTCATATAAAATCTCGACAGAAGCATTCTCAGAAACTTCTTTGTGATATCTGCCTTCAAGTCACAGAGTTGAATATTCCCTTTCACAGAGTAGGTTTGAAACACTCTTTTTGTAGTATCTGGAAGTGGACATTTGGAACGCCTTGGCGCCTACGGTGAAAAGGTAAATATCTTCCCATAAAAACTAGACAGAAGCAATCTCAGAATCTTCTTTGGGATATATGCACGCAGCTAATAGAGTTGAACCTTTCTATTGACAGAGCAGTTTTGAAACAGTCTTTCTGTGGAATCTGCAAGTGGATATTTGGATAGCTTGGGGGATTTCGTTGGAAACGGGATTACGTATAAAAAGTAGACAGCAGCATCCTCAGAATCTTCCTTGTGATGTGTGCTTTCAAGTCACAGAGTTGAACATTCCCTTTCGTACAGCAGTTTTGAAAAACTCTTTCTGTAGTATCTGGAAGTGAACTTTAGGAGAGCTTTCAGGTCTATAGTGAGAAAGGATATATCTTCAAATAAAAACTAGACAGAAGCATTCTCATAAACTTGTTCGTGATGTGTGAACTCAGCTAACACACGTGGATCTTTCTTTTGATAGAGCAGTTCTGAAAAACACTTTGTTGAATCTGCAAGTGGACATTTGGATAGATTTGAAGATTTCGTTGGAAACGGGAATATCTTCATATCAAATCAAGACAGA